>NC_000010.11:11828181-11979696 GCF_000001405.40 Homo sapiens
TGAATGACTTCTCAGACCTTGAAACTGGAGTTTCACTATAGCTTTCCTTTACAAACCGGATTCTGGGGGTATTTCAAACCATTTAGTTTGCACATATTACTTAAAGGAACTCTCTGTGTGAAAAAAAAAAAAAAAAGTCTATACTCCTTTGTACTAGACTATAAACAGGTGAGTTGGGTCCATTGCTGCCTCCAAAAATAGTACAATTGGTATTTTCTATAAATATTCAGAGCATTTTGGCTGGGCACAGTGGCTTACACCTGTAATCCCAGCACTATGGGAGGCCAAGGCAGGCGGATCACCTGAGGTCAGGAGTTTGAGACCACCCTGGCCAACATGGTGAAACCCCATCTCTACTAAAAATACAAAAAATTAGCTTGGCATGGTGGTGTGTGCCTGTAATCCCAGCTACTCGGGAGGCTGAGGCAGGAGAATCGCTTGAACTCAGGAGGCGAAGGTTGTAGTGAGCCGAGATCACGCCACTACACTCCAACCTGGACGACAGAGCGAGACTTTATCTCCAAAATAAATAAATAAATAAACAAACATGCTGAGAGTTTAAAGAGTTGTAGTGAAGATTTGAGTTCCTAACACGCTGGGAATACGGAGGTGACTAAGGCAGTGTGGGCCCTGCTCCCATGAAGGCTTGCTTGGGTAAAGGAGACATTCAATGTCCGATGTGAATTGATAACAGAGACCCACAGGTGTTTTGGGAGCAGAGGACAGAGAGTCTTTCTGTCAGGGGTGTCAGAACACCAGCTGGAGAACGTAGCATTTGAGCTGGGCCAACAAGGGCAGCATAGGGGGCAATTTAGGCCAACATGGTGGAATTGAGGAGTCAGTTATTATGCCGCAAGGGGTTAGCCTTCCAGTCGGGGGCATGGACCAGCGAAGCTTTCTGAGTAGGTTGCAGTGGCAGATCTTGTTTCCCGGCTCTCCTGTGGAGTAGACGTTTACATATGGAGGGATTAACTTGAAGTTGAACAGGATGTTAGGGACTGAGGAAGACAGAATAGAAAAAGGAGGATATAAGATGGTATGAACAAGGGGAAGACACCTGGGCATGTCAATTGTCGAATTGAATTTTAGGTTCAAAAAAAAGTTTTTTAAAAGTATTACATACCCGGGCATGCTAGATCATGCCTGTAATCCCAACACTTTGGGAGGCCAAGGTGGGAGGATTGCTTGAACCCAGGAGTTTGAGACCAGTCTGGGAAACATAGGGAGACCCCCATCTACAAAAAATTAAAAAATTAGCCAGGTGTGGTAGTGTGTACCTGTAGACCCAGCTACTCAGGACGCTGAGGCAGGAGATGCTTGAGCCCAGGAGGTTGAGGCTACAGTGAGCTGTGATTGTGCCACTGCATTCTAGCCTGTAAGACAGAGCGAGACCCTGTCTCAAAAAAAAAAAGAGTGTTGTGCTACAGTAGAAAGCTAGAACCAGCTCTGTCAGACTTGCCAAACTGACTTAGAGGCGCTGTACCGTGGTTTCTTTATATGCCACAAATTGCCCTCCATCTACACCAGGTAACCAATGAATTTGTTGCATGAGCTCCTGCTAATGCCAGCAGTATCACTTTAAGAATGAGATGGCACTAAAATGTGCATGAGGTGAGTCTGCTCTGTTAATTTTCTTTTTTTTCTTTACTTCTGATTTTTTTTTTTTTTTTTTTTTTTTTTTAGACCAAGTCTCGCTCTGTCACCCAGGCTGGAGTGCAGTGGCAAGATCTTGGCTCACCGCAGCCTCCACCTCCTGGGCTCAAGCAATTCTCCCACCTCAGCCTCCGGAGTATCTGGGACTACAGGCGTGTGCCCCCATGCCTGGCTAATTTTTGCATTTTAGTAGAGACGGGGTTTTGCCATGTTGGCCATGCTGGTCTCGAACTCCTGAGCTCAAGTGATTCACCTACCTCAGCCTCCCAAAGTGCCGGGATTACAGGTGTGAGCCACTGTGCCAGCCACAATAGGCAGTTTTTCAGCCCTCCTCTCCCCACTCCATGGACCTTCCCACCTTTTGGAGTCTCCCGTGTCCATTATTTCACTCTGTGCATTTATGTGGACCCATCGTTTAGTTCCCACTTGTGAGAACATGCAGTGTTTGACTTTCAGAGTTAGAGTTTGACTTTCACTTAGGATAATGCCTTCAGTTCCATCCACGTTGCTGCAAAAGACATGATTGCATTCATTTTTATGGCTGAGTAGTCGTCCGTGGTGTTTATATACCACATTTTCTTTATCCTGTCGTCTGTCGATGGACGCCTAGATTGATTCTGTGACGGTTACTGTGAACAGCGCCGCGGTAAAGATGCAAGTGCAGGTGTCTTTTGATGTAATGATTTCTCTCCCTGTAGGTAGATAACCAGTAGTGAGATTGCTGGGTCCTGTGGTAGTTCTAGGTTTAGTCCCTGAGAAATCTCTATTCTGTTTTCCATAGTCGACTCTACCCTTGAGCTACTTAAAGGTGTCCTGATTTCTCTGAGAGAGGTTGATAGCCATTCCTTGGACTTCTGAAAATAGTAACATGGGAACTGTTAGTTGGAATCTTCCAGTTTTTTCAACAAACATTTGGTGGTCCCCATTGCTTAAAAATGTGCTAAAAACCCCTGCTTTCTCTCTGCCCTATTAAAACTGGGTAATGCCTTTGTGCCCACAGGCTTGGATTGACTTGAGGAATTTGCTAGCAGGTTCCCCAGAGGTATAGGAAGAGCGGGAGGAGAAGCAGCCTCTAGCTCCTGCCCAGAGAGGAGGTGGTTACTGGCCTCACCTTACTGACATCATCCATCATCTGGCTCGCAAAGGGACTGGTGGAAGATGAGGTTAAAAGTTTCATGCTTTGGATTCCCACCAGGAGGTCTTGTGTGAGCTTCTTCCACCCTGGTGTGGATTTAAATCTGTTCAACTTGAGATAAGATATGTAAATCAGACCACGGCTGCCAGTCTAACCAGGTGTTATAAATACCAGTGCTAAATGAACATGCTCTAAGCCAGCTTTCTTTTCACTGGGAGCATGGATTAAAAATTCAGCCAAGAATTTTGAGCTTCTTGGGGTGGGGGTGTTGGGGGAGCACTGTAGAACCCTAAACAATAAGGTGTAATAATTCCTTCCTAGCAAGAAGTACTACATTTATCTCATTAGTGAAGCACATATTGGGTGCTCGGTAATATTTGCTAAGCAAATAAAGACAAAGCACACAAACTTGTTTCACAAAAGTAGAATGACTTCAACTGGAATTTTCTTCTATCCATAAATAATTTGCTCAGGAATCCAGAAATGTAATAGACATACCAGCTGTCCATTTTTCAAAAATGAGCTGAGTAAAAAACATGCAGTGTCTCTCTTCACAAACATTTCTTTTTTCAATTTTCATTATTTTCCAAAACCTCGGAGATTGATACCAGTTTGCAAACATTGCATCAGCTAGAACTGTTCCCCAGCTAGACTCTGCTCTGGTTGACCTCCCCTCGCCTTCCTTCTGGGTCATTCCTTTTTGTTACTAGGACCCAATCAGATGTCTGGTCAAGATTGTTTTCAGGTGAGATTTTACTTTAGGAAAATCTGGTTTTGGTATCTTTTTCAGTGATGGCGAACCGACACTAGGAAACTTCTTCCCTCGAGGCCTGTTAAAACCCAGCCTCTCTAGGTAAGGCGACCTGGTGAACTTGTTTGCTTTAAGTGTGGGCGAAATCAATTACTTCCATGTGATGTGTGGCTGGGAGTAAATCACTGCTCCTATTAACACAGCTGAAACTATTCACAACAGAGACAGTTTGAAATCAACCTCGTTTTTGTATATTGTTCAGAAAGTGCTTTTTATTTTAAAAAAATAAATTTAAAATTAAAAAAATAAGTGAAAGCATGATCATTCTTCCAGGAAGTAGAATTACTAGCCTTTTAAAATCTGTGTTTAAGGTTCTAAGTTCTTACGTAAGGCATTTCAGAAGTAAGGGAAATCCCAGTTTGGAGGAAAAGCAGAATCATAGGAAAAGGGTGCTAAACCGTGACCGCATCAATGTTTCAAACTCCAGAACAAAACTGCCCACACTCCCAGCAGCCAACTTCCACCTGGATCTTTCTTTGATCTTCAGTGCTGGGATATAGTCCTCGTTTGCTTAGGGAGAATTTTTGGAAGCATTCTTTTCTTTCCAAGGTTTTTTTCTTGAAATTGAGAAATAGCGCAGACTAAAGAGTAGTTGCTTCATATGCTTCATATTTATTTTACTGCAGCCTCTGTATTTCTGTGGAGGCCCATTTTTAAGATTAATTTTGTTCATGGATTACACGTGTAGAGCATACACATTCATATTGACATGGATTACCTGTTAATATTGGGAGGCGTTACTGGGTTAGCGTGTGTAATGTTTATTGGTGTCAACTTTTTAATACATCGTTATTTATGAAGCTGGGTTAAACGTCCTTTCTACTGCTGTGTGTTTAAACTCACTCCCCTCCACCGCCCCATGTCCCGATTTAAATGTATAAATTGGATGAGATTAATTTCTCCTAAATTGGAAGGACTTGATCTATAAATATGGTGGAGAGGGAGGGATAATAACCACACTGATGTTAACATGTCTGAAACTACTCTTAAGTATTTAAGCTTTTCTTTTAGATCCAAGGTCTGTTTTTAGGGTGCTCTTTTTTTTTTATTTAGATGGTTTTAGAGTTTTGTTTTGTTTTTGAGACAGGGTGTCACTCTGTCACCCAGGCTAGAGTGCAGTGGCTCAGTCTTTGCTTAGGGCATCCTCCACCTCCCAAATTCAAGCAATTATCCCACCTCAGCCTCCCGAGTAGCTGGGATTACAGGCACACGCCACCATGCCCGGCTAATTTTTGTATTTTTTGGTAGAGACAGCATTTCACCTTGTTGGCCAGGCTGGTCTCAAACTCCTGACCTCAAGTGATCCGCCCACCTCAGCCTCCCAAAGTGCTGGGATTACAGGCATGAGCCATTGTACCCGGCTGGTTTTAGAGTTTTTAAATATGAATTTTGGTTAAGTAACAAATAGTGATTAAGTCTGTATTTTGTGACAAGTATTATACAAAATGTTGTGGCTTTTTTTTTTTTTTTTTTTTTAGTTCTTTGCTGGGTGCAGTGGCTCACACCTGTAGTCCCAACTCGGGAAGCTGAGGCAGGAGGATTGTTTGAGCCCAGGTGGTTCAGGCCAGCCTGGGTGATGTAATGAGACCCCATCTCCAAAAAAATTTTTTTAATTAAAAAGCTTTGCCGGCTGGGTGTGGTGGCTCACACCGGTAATCCCAGCACTTTGGGAGGCCAAGAGGGGTGGATCACCTGAGGTCAGGAGTTCGAGACCAGCCTGGCCAACGTGGTGAAACCCCATCTCTACTCAAAATACAAAAATTAGCTGGGTGTGGTGGCTGGTGCCTGTAGTCCCAGTTACCCTGGAGGCTGAGGCAGGAGAATCTTTTGAACCCAGGAGGCAGAGGTTGCAGTGAGCCGAGATCATGCCATTGCACTCCAGCCTGGGTGACAAGAGTGAGGCTCCATCTCAAAACACAAAAAAAGAGCTTTGCCTACAAGGAGTTTATCGTCTAATGGAGGAAAACAAGAATTACATGCAGAAACCTTATGGGATCAATTGTATCCAAGTGGGAAAAATGGCACATAGAGTGAGCAAGTGGTGGGTATCAACAGCAGACATGAGAGTCCGGCGGGGAGGCCAGTGATGAAGGAGTCACGAAGGCTTGACCATGTTCGGTAGAGTTTTTGAGCCAAGCTTTGAAGCCTGGGAGGAGGGCAGCAGGGAGGCAGTGGGAAGGGGTTCCCAAGTGAGTAGCTCTTTCTTTTTTTTTTTTTTTTTTTTTTTTTTTTGAGATAGAGTCTCGCTCTGTCGCCTAGGCTGGAGTGCAGTGGTGCAGTCTCAGCTCACTGCAACCTCTGCTTCTCGGGTTCAAGCGATTCTCCTGCTTCAGGTTCCCAAATAGCTGGGATTACAGGCACTCACCACCACACCCAGCTAATTTTTGTATTTTTAGTAAAGACAGGGTTTCACCATGTTAGCCAGAATGATCTCGATCTTTTGACCTCGTGACTTACCCACCTCGGCCTCCCAAAGTGCTGGGATTACAGGCGTGAGCCACCGCGCCTGGCCATGAGTAGCACTTTCATAGGAGACCTGGTTCAAATTGTGGAAAGGAAGGTGGAAGAGACAAGGCTAGGCCAGATTCTAGAGAGACACTTTTTAAAGCCTCACGTTCTTACAGATCGGCTCCTTGGCAGTACAGATGAGGAAAATGAAAACTCAGCCACCTGGCAGGGCGTGGTGGCTCATGCCTGTAATCCCAGCACTTTGGGAGGCCGAGGCTGGTGGATCATCTGAGGTCAGGAGTTCGAGACAAGCCTGGCCAACCTGGTGAAACCCCATCTCTACTAAAAATACAAAAATTAGCCGGGTATGGTAGTGCATACCTGTAATCCCAGCTACTCAGGAAGCTGAGGCAGGAGAATCATTTGAACCCAGGTGGTGGAGGTTGCAGTGAGCCAAGATCGCACCATTGCACTCCAGTCTGGGTGACAGAGCAAGACTCCATCTCAAAAAAATAAATACATAAAACTCGGCCACCTTGCCTGGCCTGTGGTATCAAGAGTAAACTGGGATTTTAGAAATGTTAGTTATTGAGGCTGGGCGCAGTGGCTCACGCCTGTAATCAATCCCAGCACTTTGTGAGGCTGAGATGGGTGGATCACTTGAGGTCAGGAGTTCGAAACCAGCCTGGCCAACATGGTGAAACCCTGTGTCTACTAAAAATACAAAAATTAGCCAGGCATGGTGGCAGGTGCCTGTAATCCTAGCTACTTGGGAGGCTGAGGCAGGAGAATTGTTCAAACCCGGGAGGCAGAAGTTGCAGTGAGCTGAGATCATGCCACTGCACTCCAGCCTGGGCGACAGAGTGAGAATCTGTCTTAAAAAAAAAAAAAAAAAAGAAAAAGAAAAAGAAGTGTTAGTTATTGCAATATCTGGTAGTTTACAGGTGGGTGTGGTATGAGTGTTGGTTTCTTTTGACCTTGGAGGAAGAAAACGCTCTAGGAGCCCCAGCTCCTCTTACCTCTGCCTGAAGTTGGCTCTGTGCACTTGTGTATGAATGTGCAACTTTAGTGTGGTGGGGACAGGGATGACATGGACATTGGGCTAGGTGTGTGAACGTAGAGAAGGAACCAGGCGTGTGCTCAGAGCTCTCGGGTGTGTCATGATAACTAGGGTAAAATCCTATTTTTACGAAAGTAGTCTATAAATTACTTTTAGAGTAAAAAGGAAATGGTTAATTTAGTCTAAGGGATTGTTTTTGTTTTTTAAAGCCCTACTTAAGTCGAATAATAGAAAACAAAGAATGTATGGACTCAGTTTCCTTCAATTTATGAATTGAGTTTAAAAAACTCTACAAGAGTCTTGACATCATTCATTGCTTCCTTTTCCAGTACATTTCTTATTATAAAACTCATTTTTGTTAATACACAATTACATAAAAATAGGAAGTAACACAGAACCAGATAGAAACTATGAAAAAACAGGACTCTTTTCTTCGTTTGAGTAAAATCAAAGCAAAGTGCCTGTCACATAGAAGACACTGATGCCTGTTCACATGGATGAATGTCGTCAAGAGCCACTAGCATTAGGGCCAACAATGGCTGTTTTGTGTTTACTGATCTTTATTTTCACCCACCGCTTCCCCATATGAAGAAGCCCACTCATGGTAGTGAGCGGGGTGATTCAGAAAGAGTTCCCACCGTGAAACGCTCTCATTCATGGTGCTCTTGAAGGTCAAGGAAAACACAGCTTTTTGAAAAGGGCTTGGCTGTTAAGTCACCATATAGGGATTTTGGGGGGATGTGGCTTTATTTATTTATCTAGAGACAGAGTCTCACTCTGTCGCCCAGGCTGCAGTGCAGTGGCACGATCTTGGCTCACTGCAACCTCGGCCTTCTGGGTTCAAGCGATTCTCCTGCCTCAGTCTCCCGAGTAGCTGGGATTACAGGCGTCCACCACTATGCCCGGCTAATTTTTTTTATTTTTTTGAGACAGAGTCTCACTCTGTTGGCCAGGCTGGTGTGCAGTGGTGTGATCTCCACTCACTGCAGCCTCCACCTTCCAGGTTCAAGCGATTCTCCCATCTCAGCTTCCCAAGTAGTTGGGATTACGGGCGCATACCACCACACCCGGCTAATTTTTGCATTTTTGGTAGAGATGGGGTTTCACCATGTTAGCCAGGCTGGTCTCGATCTCCTGACCTCAGGTGATCCTCCCACCTCGGCCTCCCAAAGTGCTGGGATTACAGGTGTGAGCCACCACGCCTGGCCAGGATGTCGCTTTAAAGACAATTTCTTTCCTAAGATATGTTTATTCTATATTTTGGAACAAATCTTCACAAAATTCATGGTATGCACGCCGGCCCCTTCCTAGCGTGTAGGTGTGCACTTTGACCCTGCTGTAGTGTGTAAGTATGCTCACTGACCTCTGCCCTACTGTATATCCTGACACAGGAAGGGGGATGTCTTTTAGAAGCTCATTTCTACCTCTTTCCCAGCTCAACTGTGCTTGTCTTGACTGTATCTTAAAAGTGCTGGTTAATGGTGGGTGTCTGGACAAGGTAGGAGAGTCTATAAACCTATACCGAAGTCCTCTCTTATACACGGTTTTGCTTTCCATAGTTTCGGTTACTTGCAGTCAACCGTGGTCCAAAAATATGCGATGGAAAATTCCAGAAATAAATCCTTCATAAGTTTTAAATTGTGCACCATTCTGAGTAGTGGGATGAAATGCGTCGTTCTGATCCATTGCCTCCTGCATGCGAATCCTCCTTTGCCCGGAGTCCCCACCTGCCCATCACTTAGTAGCCAACTCAGTTCTCAGATCAGCTGTCTATGTGGCCGTGCTTATGTTCAAGTCACTTTTATTTAATAATGGCCCTGAAGCAGAAGAGGCATGATGCTGGCTGGTAATTTGTATATGCTGAAGAGAAGCTACCAAGTGCTTCCTTTAAGTGAAAAGATGTGAAAGTTCTGAACTTGGAGAAGAAAAAAAAATCAAATGCTGAGGTCGCTGAGACCTACTGTAAGAACAAATCATCTTCTGTCTGTGAAGGTGTGAAGAAGGAAAAAGAAATTTATATTAGTTTTGCTGTCACACTTCATACGTTCAAGTTATGACCACTGTGTGACAAGTGCTTAGGGACATTTGTAGGTAGAAGACATGAACACGAGCTCCGATTGCTGGCAGACGGGTTGGGATTGGTGCTGTCTGCAGATCCAAGCATCCACTGAGGGTCTTGGAACATACCCCCTCAGAGAAGGGAGAACTGCAG
Source organism: Homo sapiens (assembly GCF_000001405.40). Taxonomy (NCBI): domain Eukaryota; kingdom Metazoa; phylum Chordata; class Mammalia; order Primates; family Hominidae; genus Homo; species Homo sapiens. The sequence goes on from NC_000010.11 coordinate 11,837,501, forward strand.
CAATATAGGTACATGGGGTTGTCTTCAGACCCAGCCTGGACCTGTTTTTGTGAAGTGTTTGCAATGGCAATGAGTTGCGTAACATAGACATACTAAGCAAGATTGGTTCTACATCACTTGGTTAAGGGGAATAATTTTTCCATTCACGTTCAGAACTACCAAAGACAGTAATGACCTTGTGATTTGGTTGAAGCTGTCTGTAGGGAATCCAAGTCTTATAAGACACGATTTCTTTCCCTCACATTTCCTCGGTGCAAAACCTAATAGTAGAATGTGAGAAACTTCATATTATTTGTTCCAGCTTAGATTCTTCAGTAAAGTGCGTTGGGTTAACCGTTCCCTGGTTAGTTTTGAGCTGAACTGTGATGCTAGAAAAGGTTACCTTCGGGGTTTTTCCTCTTCCTGTTCGTACACCCTTGCGGTCTTCGGACTTCCCTCCTGAATTGCCCCGGGGTTTCTAGGTGGTGCCTGTCTTTTCTTCCCTCATTAGATCATAACTTATCTGCCTGTATCATCTCCTGACATACTGGGTCTTTCAAAGGCTCCAAGGTGCTGAAATGACCTGATAAATCATTTCTTTAACCTCCAGGAAACCTTTCCTTTCTGTGTTGGTAGCAGCCAGACTCAGGTGCCCTCCGGTGAGTGAGGCGGGCGGGTGTCTATTTTAGAACAATCAGGTCATGCCCCCGACACACACTCACCCCCCAGACTCACCAGTGGCATTCGGGCCTGGCTATGCATGTAAAATACAGCGCTGGGTTTTAAATGTACATGAATAGAATTGCACTAAGAATCTAACTCTGACTTTTCATTGAGTGCTTTGAAGGTCTGTGCATGGCCTCATCCAGCTGATCTAACTGATGTGCAGTATTCCGTAGTAAGCATTTACCACGTTTCTACTTATAGAAAGTTCATGGTAGGCGAAGAACCTGGACTGCCACCAACTCTTCTCAACAGCAGGCAACACTGTATACCCATCCCGGCACGTGTTTCCACATGTTCCTAGTAGACAGCTCCCCTGGAGTGAAGGCTGAGCAGTGGAATGTGTGGCTCGTAGGACACGCTTAGTTTCTCTAAGTATTGCCCAGTTGCCCTACAGAAAGGTTGTATGAATTCATTCCCAGCAGGTTCACCAAGGTTGACCCACATTCTTGCTGACACTTGTTATTTTTTGTCTAATTTTTGCCACTCCAGTAGGTATTAAATAATGTAGTAGTTTTAGCTTGCACTTTTTTTGTTCACTAGTGAGGTTGAACATCTGTCTTGTACTTAATAATCATCTGGTTTCCTCGTTTGTACACTGTCTAATCATATTCCTTGTTCATTATTTTTTTCTGAGTTTCTTATTAGTTTAGAAGGTTTTCTTATATTCTAGCTATCAATTCCTTATACGTATTAGACATAGTACATATCTTCTATGAGCTGGCAGCTTTTCTCTTAATATTGTCTATGGTGTCCTTAATTTTTATGTAGACAGATGCATTGAAATTTTCACCTTATAACTTGTATTTTTTGAGTCCTAATGAATAGAAAGATTAATAGAGCAAAATAGGAAATTCAGAAATAGAACCAAAAACATATAAACATTTAGTACAAACAACATTAGTATTTCAAAACAGTGGTAAAAGATGGGTCCTTCAGTACTTGGCACTTGAGCTGTCGGATAACCTTCTTGGCTTGAGGGCAGGGAGCAGGTCTCTACTCCACACATTACACTGACATAAATCCAAGGCAGATCAGATATTTAAATATGAAAAGTGGAACCATAAAAATGCTAGTAGAAATTCGAGAGGTATATTCTATATTCTTAGAGTAAGAAAGGCCTAAATTTGCAAAAACACAAGCTATAAACAAAAAGATTGATAAATTCAACTACATAAAAATAAATTCTTTAGGTCATATTACAAATTTTAAAAAAATACTTGCAATTTATATCAAGCGATTTCTGTTGGATAGAAATAAAACTTTCCAGTCTGTTTCACTGCTGTCTATCCTAGTACCAGTGCCTTGTGTTTTACTTACTGCTACTTTATAATAACTCCTTGGCTGGGCGCGGTGGCTCACGCCTGTACTCCCAGCATTTTGAGAGGCCAAGGTGGGCAGATCATAAGGTCAGGAGTTCAAGACCAGCCTGGGCAACATGGCGAAATCCCGTCTCTACTAAAAACACAAAAATTAGCTAGATGTGGTGGGGGGCACCTGTAATCCCAGCTACTCGGGAGGCTGAGGCAGGAGAATCGCTTGAACCCGGGAGGCAGAGGTTGCAGTGAGCTGAGATCATACCACTGCACTCCAGCCTGGGCAACAGAGTGAGATTGTCTCAAAAAAAAAAAAAAAAGACTTAAAATACAATATGGAATAGCAGTGGTGAAAATAGGAATGATTTTTAATATTTTCCAGTAAGTATGGTGTTTGCTGTCATTTATTTTTATTTTTATTTTCATTTTATTTATTTATTTATTTATTTTTGAGACAAGGTCTAGCTCTGTCACCCAGGCTGGAGTGCAGTGGCCATGATCTCAGCTCACTGCAACCTCAGCCTCCCAGTCTCAAGTGATTCTCCTGCCTCAGCCTCCCAAGTAGCTGGGACTACAGGTACACTCCTCCACCCCTGGGTAATTTTTGTATTTTTAGTAGAAATGGGGTTTCGCCATCTTTGCTGGGCTGGTTTCAAAAGCCTGACCTCAGGTGATCCTCCTGCCTTGGCCTCCCAAAGTGCTGGGATTATAGGTGTGAGCCACCACGCTGTCCTCATTTGTTGTCATTAAAAAAAAAAAAAAGAAAAACTCTTATTTAGTTAACAAAAAAATTCCTCCTAATTTGTGAAGTTTTAAAAACATTTCTGCATAATTTTAAGTTTCTCAAATGCTTCTTTCATCATCTATTGAGATGATTGAATGGCTTTTCTAATTTAACCTGTTAATGTGCTACATCACGTTGGAAAATTAATGTTAGGCCAACCTTACAATCTTGGGATTAACTCTTCTTTATCATTATTTGGTTTATAGACCCAGTTTACTAATAATTTTATTTGGGACTTTTTGCATCTGCATTCTTAAATGACTGGCTTGTCATTTTTCCTTTCTCATATATTCTTTGGGTTTTGGTGTCAAGGTTTTAGTAGCCTCAAAATTAGATAGTGGGGGCCAGGCGCGGTGGCTCATCCCTTGGCCAGCACTTTGGGAGGCCAGGGCAGGTGGATCACCCTGAGGTCAGGGGTTCGAGACCAGCCTGGCCAACATGGCGAAACCCTGTCTCTACTAAAAATACCAAAATTAGCTGGGCGTGGTGGCTCATGCCTGTAATCCCAGCTAATTGGGAGGCTGAGGCAGGAGAATCGCTTGAACCAGGGAGGCGGAGGTTACAGTGAGCGAAGATTGCACCATTGCACTCCAGCCTGGGCGTCAGAGTGAGACTGTCTCAAAAAAAAAAAAAAAAAAAAAAAAAAAAAAAAAATATATATATATATATATATATATATATATATATATGATGGTGGGGGTTGTTTTTCTCTTCTCTGGAAAAGTTTGTGTAAGGTTGGAGTTATTTGTTCCTTGAATGTTTGGTAGAACTCTCCAGCAAAACTTTCTCACCTGCTTTTCACTATTGAAAGATTTTTGTCTGCCGATTCATTTTCATTAGTGGTTATAAGACTTCAGATTTTTTATTTTATTCTTGAATAAGCTTTAACGAGATATTCTTCCAGGAATTTGTCCATTTCATCCATGCTTTCAAATTTACTAGCATAAAATTGTTCATAAAAACCTTTTCAACACCCATGGCACCTACAGTTATGTCCCCACTTTTTATTCTGATATTGTTCATCCATTTTTCCCCTCAGTTCTGTTGAAAGTTTGTCAATTTTATTAATATTTTCAAAAACCAATTTTTTGTTTTATTTTTCTCTACTGTATGTTTTTCTATTTAATTTCATGTTCTTTTTCTTGTTGATTTTGTATTTATTCTTTTGGGTTTTTCCTAACTTAAGTTAGATGCTTGGTTCATTAAATTTCAGCCTTCTTGCCTAATGTCACAGGCATTTCAGTGATGTTTGAGCTGCATCCCACAGGTTTCGATAGGTAGCGTTTCTGTTATTTACTTACGAGTATTTCTCAATTCCCAATATTGTTTCTGAGAGTTATTTAGAAGTATAAATTCCTAGTGCCTACACACATGGGTTCTTCCAGTTACCTTTAGTCTATTGATTTCTAATTTAATTGCTTTGTAGTAAACAAATATATATTTGATACCAGTCTCTTAAAATTTGCTGAGACTTGCTTTCTGACCCCATGTCATCAGTTCTCCTACGTATTCTGCATGAGTCTGAAAGAATGTGTATTGTGAAGCTGTTGCGTATAATGTGTTGTAAATCTTGATGAGATCAAACTTCCCATTATATTGTTTAAGTCTTCTGTATTCTCAGGCTTGATAAATCAGTTGCCAAGAAAGGTGTGCGAAAGGCCAGGCTTCCTAGCACTTTGGGAGGCCGAGGCAGGCGGATTGCCTGAGCTCAGGAGTTTGAGACCAGCCTGGGCAACATGTGGAACCCCATCTCTACTAAAATACAAAAAATTTGCCGGGTATGGTGACGTGAGCCTGTGGTCCCAGCTACTTGAGAGGCTAAGGCAAGAGAATCGCTTGAACCCGGGAGGTGGAGGTTGTAGTGAGCTGAGATCGCGCCACTGCAATCCAGCCTGGTTACAGAGTAAGACTCAGTCTCAAAAAAAAAAAAAATCCAGTGTGACAATGTTTTTATTTTAACTGGATCATTTTCCATTAAATGTAATTATGCAAATATTTACATTTTTATCATAATTTGTGCTTTTTATTTGTCCTCTTCTGTTTTGTCTTTTGTCCTTGCCTTCTTTTGGAATGATTTTTTTTTTTAATCTTTCATTTATCCCCTCCTCTAATTTAGATGGTAAATGTTCTGGGTTTTTTTTTAGTGGTTTCTCTAGAAATTTTAACATGAATGCTTATACAATTTTAAAGTTGGTCAACATTTTAACTTCCTCCAAAACTCAAATCCCCTCCCTCCCATGTGTGTGCTGTCACTGTGGTGTGTTTCAGCTCTGCCTTGTAGTAGAAAACAAGACTGTTTGATATACTGTTTGTTTACATTTACTCGCATTTTTAGTCCAAATCTTTCCTCCCTGAAATAGAGCCTTTTTAAAACTGTGCTCTATTGGTAGCCGACTCGCTCTGTTTTTATTTATATAGAAATTTATAACATTTTCCTTTGGTCTTTTTTTCCACAGACTTTTTTTAATCTGAGGTACAGATTTTCAGCAGTTATAATCTTCAGCAGTTTTTCCCAAATATATGTATGTATACATGTACATATGTGTGCGTGAATGTGTGTATTTTTCAGCCTGTCTTGGTTTCAGATGAAACAGAACTCCTCATTTTCTATACTATTTTGCCATTGTTCTTTTTTTTTTTTTTTTTTTTTTTTTTTGAGATGGAGTCTTGCTCTGTCGCCCAGGCTGGAGTGCTGTGGCACGATCTCGGCTCACTGCAAGTTCCGCCTCCTGGGTTTACACCATTCTCCTGCCTCAGCCTCCCGAGTAGCTGGGATTACAGGCGCCCGCCACCATGCCCGGCTAATTTTTTGTATTTTTAGTATAGACGGGGTTTCACCATGTTAGCCAGGATGGTCTTGATCTCCTGACCTCGTGATCCGCCCACCTCGGCCTCCCAAAGTGCCGGGATTACAGGTGCGAGCCACCGCACCCAGCCTTGCCATTGTTCCTGAAAGAATATTTTTATAGGCCAGGTGCAGTGGCACACACCTGTAATCCCAGCACTTTGGGAGGCAGAGGCAGGCGGATCACCTGAGGTCAGGAGTTCAAGACCAGCCTGGCCAACATGGTGAAACCCCATCTCTACTAAAAATACAAAAAAAGGCCGGGTGCGGTGGCTCACGCCTGTAATCCCAGCACTTTGGGAGGCCAAGGCGGGCAGATCATGAGGTCAAGAGATCGAGACCATCCTGGCCAACATGGTGAAACCCCGTCCCTACTAAAGATACAAAAATTATAGGCGCGTGGTAGCACACGCCTATAGTCCCAGCTACTCGAGAGGCTGAGGCAGGAGAATTGCTAGAACCTGGGAGGCAGAGGTTGCAGTGAGCCGAGATCGCACCACTGCCTTCCAATCTGGACGACAGAGCGAGACTCTGTCTCAAAAAAAAAAAAAAAAATTAGCCCACCGTGGTGGTGGGCTCCTGCAATCCCAGCTACTTGGGAGGCCGAGGCAGGGGAATCACTTGAACCTGGGAGGCAGAGGTTGCAGCGAGCCAAGATCATGCCACTGCACTCCAACCTGGGTGATAGAGTGAAACTCCATCTCAAAAAAAAGAATATTTTTATAGTACATATAGATTTAGGTTGAGGGTTTTTTTTTTTTCTCAATGGGATTGTTTCCATTGTTGCTGTTTCAAGAAGTCAGTCTAATTATCACTTCTTTGAAAATAATCTGTCTTTTCTTTGAGTGCATTTGATTGATTGAGACAGGGTCTTTGCCCTGCCCCCTAGGCTGGAGTCCAGTGGCATGATCACAGCTCACTGCCACCTCCAACTCCTGGCCTCAAGTGATCCTCCCACTGCAGCCTCCCCAGCAGCTAGGACTATAGGCATGTCCTGCCGTGCCTGGCTATTTTTTAAATTTCTTATAGAGATAAGGTCTCACTATGTTGCCCAGGCTGGTCTTGAACTCCCAACCTCAAGAAATGCTCCCACTCAGCCTCCCAAAGCACTGGGATTACAGGTATGAGCCACTGCACCCAGCCACTTTGAATATTTTTACAGTATCTTTAAGTTTTTCAAAAGGTAATACATTCATATGGTTAAAAAAGAAAAGGTAATTATATTTCTAAAAACTCTACATTTAACTCTTGTCCTCAACTCACTTCTACCCCTCACGCCCAACAATTGTTCTTGACTTGTATATCCTTCCAAAGTTTCTTATGCATGTAACAACAAATACAAATATACATTCTTAATCTGTAATCTCTTGGTTTTACACAATGCATAGTATTTTATATATAGTCCTAGACTTTGCATTTTTTTGCTCAGTAATATACCTAGAGATCTTTACTCATCAGTACATGGAGAGCTTCCTCATTCTTTTTTATTTTTGAGATGGAGTCTCGCTCTGTCACCCAGGCTGCAGTGCAGTGGCACGATCTCAGCTCACTGCAACCTCTGCCTCCTGGGTTCAAGCGATTCTCCCACCCTAGTCTCTCGAGTAGCTGGGATTACCGGCATGAGCTACCACGCCTGGCTAATACTTGTGTTTTTACTAGAGACAGGGTTTCACCATGTTGGCCAGGCTGGTCTCAAACTCCTGACCTCAAGTGATCCGCCCGCCTTGGCCTCCCAAAGTGCTGGGATTACAGGCATAAGCCACCACTCCCAGCCTTCCGCATTCTTTATACAGCTGATTAGTATTCAGTTACATGGATGTACTCTATTTAACCAGCCCCTTATGTGAGACACTTAGGTTTTTTGGGGGATTTTTGTTATTACAGACAATCCTACAGTGAATAACATTATAAGGTTGGTGCAAAAGTAATCACGACTTTTGCCATTGAAAATAATGGAAAAAAACCTGATTACTTTTGCACCAACCTAATACATATGTCCCTGTGTGTGTGTGCAATTTCTCGGTAGGATAAATTTCCCCAAATGGAATTGCTAGGTGCGTGGGAATATATTTTACATTTTGATAGATACTATGCGGTTGCCCCCTGAGGGGTTATGCCAGTTTACACCCCCACCAGCGGAACCTCGGAGCACCTTGTTTCCCCACAGCCTTTTAACTACGGTTTTGAGGCTGCTTTCAAGATTTGTAGCTGCTTTTAACTTTTTCTTGTTTTCGGTGTTCTGTGGTTTCATTGTGATTGTCTAATAGTACATTTAAAATTTGTATTCTGTTTGGGATTCATCAGAATTCCTCTGTCTGTGACTTGATGTCTTTATCAGTAAGCAGGATATAGAGGATACACACAAAAATGAATAATTGAGGAAAGTTTAATACTTAGATTATTTACAAAAAATACAGGCAGGGTTAGGGAAAGCAACAGAGGATGGTTCGGTACCTAGAGGACAGCAACACTCGGTAGCTGTTAGCACCCCTAGGCCCTCGGGGAAAGGGAGGGAGCTGTGGAACCCGGGGAGGGAGCTGAGAGGAAGGGCAGAGGCTGGGGTCCTCGGCGGGACCCAGCAGCCTGCAGGGAGCTGGCAGCCTGCCTTGCGTGCTGGGGTCTCATTGGCTGGACTCAACCAGCAGCCCCACAGCAAGGGTGCCCATCTGATACATTCCTGCTCCTGAGGCAGGAGAGTGAGGCTAGAGAAAGCTGGAGAATGGTTCTGGTGGGGGGACCCTCAGACTGAAGCTATACCACCTAGTATCTTTCATCCATTGTGAAACACGCTCAGCCATTGTCTCCTTAAACATTACTTCATTCATTCATTCATTCATGCATTCATTCATTCATTTTAGAGATGGAGTCTCACTCTGTTGCCCAGGCTGGAGTGCAGTGGTGCGATCTCGGCTCACTGCATCCTCTACCTCCCGGTTTCAAGCGACCCTCCTGCCTCAGTCTCCCAAGTAGCTGGGATTATAGGTGTGCCCCACCACGCCCGGCTCATTTTTGTATTTTTAGTAGAGACGGGTTTTTACCATGTTGGCTAGGCTGGTCTCGAACTCCTGACCTCAAGTGATTCACCTGCCTCGGCCTCCCATAGTGCTGGGATTACAGGTGTGAGCCACCATGCCTGGCCTTGAACATTACTTCTGCCACATCAGCTCTCCTCCCCTCTGAGAAACTCCAGTTAAACACAAACCTTAGACATAGACATAAACCTTCTCAACCTGTGTTGGGTCTCTTAACCTCTCATTGGTTTTCACATCTCTCTGTGCTACAATCTGGACAAATGATAGGTTTCTTCAGATCATTTTTCTTTCTGTCATTCTCTCTCTAGCTATATTTGATCTTCTGTTTATGCCATCTGTCGAGTTTTTTCTTTGTTATCAATTTTTTCTTCATAAAAAGTTGTATTTGGTTGTTTTTTACATTACTCTGCTTATTTTTTAGGTCGATAGCATTTCCTCCTGCCTGTCGCTGGAAGCAGGGAGTCACAGGTGTTTTATATTTCATCCAGCACTGAAACAGCTTTGAACAGGCCGGCCAGGCCATGGAGTCTGTCTAACTGCCAGAGAGGAAAGTTTCTGGGATTTGGTTTGGGTTTTGTTTGTTTGTTTGTTTTAGAGATGGCCAGCTCTGTCACGCAGGCCAGAGTGCAGTTGTATAATCATAGCTCACTGCAGCCTCAGATTCCTGGGCTCCAGCCATCCACCCACCTCACGAGACTACAGGCACGCACCACCACGCCTGGCTGATTTTGCTATTTTTGGTAGAGTTGGGGTGGGGTCGGGGGGCATCTCTATGTTGCCCGGGCTGGTCTCAAACTCCTGGCCTGAAGCAATCCTCCCACCTCGGCCTCCCAAAGTGTTGGGGTTACAGGCGTGAGCCACCACTCCCAGCCTGTCCAGGGTTTTACCTTCTCTTTTCCCCAACTTTTTCCCATAGCTCATGACTAGGCTCAAGTGTCTCCTATTCTTAAAGAAAAAAAAGAAAAACATAAATAAATATATATATATATATATATATATATATATGAATCCAAAATGCTTTTCTTCAACCCCATTTTCCTCTACAGCTATTGCCTCATCTCTCTTTTCTGTTACTCTTTTCACCCCAAATTCAAAAACCACTAACCATCTGCTTCCAGGATTGCTGTTCCCAGCGCAGCCCGCTGCAGTGTGATTTCTAACCCGCCTTCACAAGGTCACCTTAGTTGATGGAGTCAGTGGCTGGTTTTTAGTCCTTATTCTGTTTTGTTGTTTTGTTTTGTTGTTGTTGTTGTTTTGAGACGGAGTCTCGCTCTGTCACCCAGGCTGGAGTGCATTGGCGCAATCTCTGCTCACTGCAACCTCCACCTCCCATATTCAAACAATTCTCCTGCCTCAGTCTCCCGAGTAGCTGGGATTACAGGTGCCTGCCACCACGCCTGGCTAATTTTTTGTGTTTTCAGTAGAGATGGGGTTTCACTATGTTGGCCAGGCTGGTCTCAAACTCCTGACCTCAAGTGATCCACCCACCTCGGCCTCCCAAAGTGCTGGGATTACAGGCGTGAGCCACCATGCCCAGCCCTTATTCTGTTTTGAATTTCTGTGGCTTCTGTTACTTCTCTCACTGTTGAAATGTTTTCTTCCCTTACGTCAGCCACTAAAACTCTAAAACTTCGTGGATTCTTTCTCTTTGATCTCACAGCTTTTCTCTTCTTACCTGACAGCCACCACAGTTTTCACATCTTCATCGTCTCTTTTGTGAACTGATAAAATAACTTGATAACGGTTTTTATTACCTCTTAAATAATCTATTGAATAGTTAAGATGTGCAGCATTCCAAAGATAAGGAGATCATTTGGTAAGAGTGCGTGTCCCTCCATCCTCGTCTTCACCCATTTCTCTTCCCAGAGTCAGCCATGGTCATTTTCCTTGTGTATCTTTTCAGAGGTTCACACACATATTTTGTTTCCCTGTCAAAGTGGGAGTGTGCCCCACTCTGGTTTGTTTTTGTTTTGTTTTGTTTTTGTTTGTTTGTTTGTTTTGTATTTTGAGACAGAGTCTCACTCTGCCGCCCAGGCTGGAGTGCAGTGGCATGATATCAGCTCACTGCAACCTTTGCCTCCTGGGTTCAAGCAATTCTTCTGCCTCAGCCTCCCAAGTAGCTGGAATTACAGGCACCTGCCACCATGCCCGGCTAATTTTTATATTTTTAGTAGAGACGGGGTTTCGCCATGTTGGCCAGGCTGGTCTCGAACTCCTGACCTCAGGTGATCCACCCACCTTGGCCTCCCAAAGTGCAGGGGTTACAGGCGTGAGCCACCGTGCCTGGCCCCCCACTCTGTTCTTTCCCTTGCTTTTTAAGCCAAATGTGTGGTGTTCAGTTAGCCTCACTGCTTTCAGGGCCTTCTCTTGGTTCTGCCCACCCTTCAGACCATGGCCAGAGTCGTCTTTCTAAACTGTAAGTGGGTCCTGTCCCTTTGCAGGGCGTAAACCTCCCTTGGTGCCCCCCTACCTGTCGGCAAAGTTCAGAAATCAAAGCTGCTTTTACTGAGGTCCAGCTGACCTCATCCCCCCAGTTTGCACCTCTCTCTACCTGTTTTGCAACCCGTGTTGTATCTTGTGCTTGAGCTGAGTTCACTGCTTTATCCTGCGCACTTGCCATTTTTCAAACAGGCTTACATTTCCACATCTTTGTTGATTCTTTTTTCTGTTAGGAATGCCCATGGGAGTGGGTGATGTTGAAGTGGTGTTTGGAGAGTTTGTTTAACAAGCCAGGTGTGGTGGCTCACGCCTGTAATCCCAGCACTTTGGGAGGCCGAGGCGGGCGGATCACAAGGTCAAGAGATCAAGACCATCCTGGCCAACATGGTGAAACCCCGTCTATACTAAAAATACAAAAATTAGCTGGGCGTGGTGGCGCATGCCTGTAGTCCCAGCTACTTGGGAGGCTGAGGCAGGAGAATCGCTTGAACCCAGGAGGCGGAGGTTGCGGTAAGCCGAGATTGCAACATTGCACTCCAGCCTGGGCGGCACAGCAAAACTCCGTCTCAAAAAAAAAACAAAAAAACAAAGAGTTTAACTAGCTGTCTCCTTAAATCTTAGGGCCATGGTGGGCCCTCCTGGACTCCCTGTAATGGCACTGAACATTGTTACATATCTGTCTTCCCTTACAGTTGGTGCTATGTGGCAGAATCACTTGTGGAACTCCTTAAAAACACGCACACTCCCAGCCTTTACCCCCATAAATATATTCTGTAGGTCTAGGTCTGAGTCCCAGAGAGCTTCTGATCCATTGCCTGGGTTAAGCATCAGTGCATAGATGGGCTCCTCTCTGGAAGGGAAGCCTCTGACTCATCTGCCTTTCTCTAGTACCTGGAATCTCCCCAAGGTGAGGTAGGAAAATAGTAAGCATCAAAGAATATGCTTAGGCTAGAAAGGAAGATGGGGTTCAGATGGAAGCAGGTGATGACTGATTGGCTGAAACTTTTATTCTCAAGCCTGTTGGGAATGGGTTAAAATTGACTGCTTTTGGGAGAGTGGTAACAATTAAGTGATGTTTCAAGATTAATCCAACTAGAGAATCCGGCAGAAGTGTAGAGAAGAGGGAGAAGGCAAGGAGGACAGCAGGTGGCGGCTGTAGTTGGAACATGTATCCCAAAGCTCATGTGTTGGACACTTAATCCCCAGCATGGCCATGTTGAGGGGCAGGGACGGGAAGAGGTGGTTAGCATTTGAACGTTGTTATTGCAGGAGTGGGTTCACTATAAAAGCGAGTTTGGCCCTTTCTTGTGCTCTCTCTCTCTCACCAGTGATGCCTCCCGTTATGTTACGGTACAGCAGGAAGGCCTTCAGCAGATGTGGCCCTGGATCTTGGATTTCCCAACCTCCCAAACCACAAGCCAAATAAGTTTGTTCCTTGTACAGCAGCACAAAACAGATGAAGACAATGGCTGTGGCAATAATGTAGGCACGTGCTAAAATGGTCCTGAACTTGGGTGTGGGACCAGAAGGGAAGTGGATACAACTGACGTCGTAAAGGAAGAGTCTGCAGGGCTCGGCAGCTGGCTGCTTGTGAGTGGCAGGGAGGGGAGGAGTCGGAAACATCTCCATGGCTCATTTGTGTGACAAGGCTGCAAGCCCCTGTGTCTAGGGATGGGCGCTGATTAACACAATGTGGCTCTGGCGTTTGGCAAAACCAGCCCTTTCAGGGGAATGGCAGGAAGACCTGGTTGCTTGAGCTGCTCCGTATACCCGAGTGTGGCCATTTGCTCCTGAGATGATGGCGGGATGGGAAAAGGAGGGCTTTGTGCGTAACACCATCTAGGTCATTCTAGGGCCTCCTGGAATGTACAGGGAAGGTGAAGGGAGCTGCCTTTCTCTCCTGGCTCCACAACCCACCAGCTCTCCTAGGACCATTGACTTTGTCTTTATTTTACTATTTGGAATAGTGGCAACTTTATGTATATGCATATCATCTTCTGGTTTCCTAGCCTTGCTCTTAAATCGCCATTTGATGTGTACCGATTAAGCAGAAATGTGTTTCTTTTTAAATCTGTTTTACAGAGATGTCTGTAAGGTGTTTCAGAGGAAGTTTTCATGGTAATGCTTGAAGTCTTAAATGACAGGTTCCCCTAAAGGTGTTCAATGCAGATTGCACTTTCTCCACAAATGGTCATGTTTCCATTAATCAGCAAGAGGCTTATTCCTATGAGTCTTCTTTGGTCTTCTAGAAGGCTTTGTTGAACTGTCTAACATGCCGTTCAGGGGCTGGGCTGGATTTCCTGCTAAAAGGGTCAGAGGACCAGACATGGTGGCTCACTCCTGTAATCCCAGCACTGTGGGAGGCCAAGGCAGGCGGATCACTTGAGCTCAGGAGTGACTCCTGAGACCAGCCTGGGCAACATGACGAAACTCTGTCTCTACAAAAAATAAGCTGGGTGTGGTAGTGCAAGCCTGTAGTCCCAGCTACCCAGGAGGCTGAGGTGGGAGGACTGCTTGAGCCCATGAGGTCAAGGCTGCAGGGTATTGTGATTTTGCCACTGCACTCCAGCCTGGATGACAGAGTGAGACCTTATTTCAAAAAAAAGTAGCCAGGGTTGGGGGGGCAGTCAGAGGACTGTATGAAATTAAGGGGCTTACAGGGGACAGTTTCAGTGTCTTTGCTCCTGGAAGTAAAGATGGCAACTTCCTCATAGTTTTAACCTGGGGTACTTTACTTTTGATGTACACATTGCAATAGCATGAGGCTTCCATAGAGTCTTCAGTTTCGGAGATGTCAGCCAGGCTCCCCATGGTAACATGTTAGCTCTTGTCACCTCCCCTCAAGTCTGAACTGTAACAGAGCTGGAGAAGCAACCACAGTTTATGGTGGCTGAGGCAGAAAAGCCAGGAAGAGCCTGAGTGTGAAAGAGCTTGGAAGTGCAGAAGAAGATACCACATTATTCTGTCATATTTCCAGCAGCAAAGTCATCTTGAATATACCCGTCTTTCCTTCAGATTATTCCGGCTGGGCATGGTGACTTGTGCCTATAATCCCAGGTACTCAGGAGGCCGGGGCAGGAGGATCGTTGGAGCCCAAGAGTTCAGTGTCAGCCTGGACAACATAGCAAGACTCTATCTCTGAAAAAAAAACAACAACAAACTTTTAAAAATTATTCTTATGTGTTCAGAATGGTTAACAATATAAAGGAGACATGGCAGTCAGCATCCTCAAACTGGTTGACTTAGCGTTTCCCAATCGCCTTTACCCTAATGGTCGAGTCTGAGAGTGGAGATTAATCTAAGCCATGTTTTTGAGGGATTGAGGCGTTTTACAGTCTCGGCTTACTGACCATTGTCATTCGTGTTTGGTGTCTCTAGGAGTGAGCTGTTGCCGCAGAATGGGCTGCTGGCTCCTGCCCTGCTTCCTGTGATCGAGCCGGCCCTGAGGACTCTGTGGAGATGCCTGTAACCCACCGGAAATCAGACGCATCTGACATGAACTCAGACACGTCCCCCAGCTGCAGGCTCCGAGCCTTCAGCAGAGGCGGCAGCCTGGAGAGTCGAAGCAGCAGCTCTCGCTCCAGAAGCTTCACTTTGGTGAGTGACAGTTTTTCTTTCATGCTTTCCTGTGCCTGGGTCAGTGGATTTTGCCTCAATCCCTCTCCCTTGAAGGAATATTTTACCAGATCTTTTTGGGTCAACTAGCTTGATGTTCTGGAATACTTCTTTGTGAAGTGGTTCTTTATTTTTAATCATCTTAAATTTTGCACAAATACAGAGCATTACCCATAGCCATGGAGCAAATCCCTCGCTGTGGCCAGTAACTCATGGCTGCTTAGACGTAGATAGGACCAGGCCCGGGGCAGAAACCAACCCAGGCAGGAGCGCTGCTGAAGAGCTCACACGATAAACACAGTTGACTCTTTTTTTTGAGACAGAGTCTCACTCTGTCCTCCAGTGGCGCGATCTTGGCTCACTGCAACCTCCGCCTCCCAACTTCAAGCAGTTCTCCTGCCTCAGCCTCCCAAGTACTGGGATTACAGGCTCGTGCCACCACACCCGGCTATTTTTTTTTTTTTTTTTTTTTTTTGGTATTTTTAGTAGAGACAGGGTTTCACCATGTTGGCCAGGCTGATCTCGAACTCCGCCCACCTCAGCTTCCCAAAGTGCTGGGATTATAGGCGTGAGCCACCGCGCCAGGCCTCCCAAAGTGCTGGGATTATAGGCGTGAGCCACCGCGCCCGGCCACTCAAGCTGATGTTTCACTCCTGTGCAAGTAAAGATGCTTTTGTATCCTTCTCAGAATCCAGACCTTTGCATAGCTTTGGGAACTTTACAAAAAGAGTTGGTGAAGTTAAGAGGATCTCGTGCCTTCCCCGGTGAGGACATTCATCTTTCAAGAGAGGGGAGACCATGACACTCACTCCTAGAGGGAGGAGCACAGGAGAGAAATGGTCCCCCGGGCCTCACTAGGAACCATTGGGGGCACCTCTCAGGTCCTCTCCTTCCAGTGGGAACGCCAGTTTCCCTCAGATACACTGAGCCATAAAATTAGCCTCAGTTACGCTGAAGCTAGATATACTTGGTATGGGGTAGTTATTAGTAATGACAGAATTTTCTAGACCCCCACTTGCATATTTTCTTTTTTAAAACCATTATGGTAATATGTGATAAATATTATTTGATTGGCCGGGCACAGTGGCTCACGCCTGTAATCCCGGCACTTTGGGAGGCCAAGGCAGGTGGATAACCTGAGGTCAGGAGTTTGAGAACAGCCTGGCCAACATGGTGAAACCCCGTCTCTACTAAAAATACAAAAATTAGCCGGGCGTGGTGGTGGGCACCTGTAATCCCAGCTACTCGGGAGGCTGAGGCAGGAGAATCACTTGAACCAGGAGGCAGAGGTTGTAGTGAGCTGAAATCGCGCCACTGCACTCCAGGCTGGGCGACAGAACGAGACTCCATCTCAAAAGAAATGCCCAGCACCCAAGCAGCTCTGGTGCCAGCTTCTCCTTCCCTGGTGTTCTGTTAGTGTCCAGGTGGGGCGCCATTCCCCTTCATCCTGCCGCCACCATCTTGTTTGGATCCATGCTCCTCCTTCCATCTCCTTCGTTTCTCCGTAGACGTTTAAATTATTTTTTCTTTGATCGCTAAAGGTGAGGTGGTAAAAGGGAACATTCCTTCCTCCTCCCTACTGCACACATTTCTTAATTCTACCAGTTTTATGGGCATGAGTTTGATTTTAAATTAAAGGATTCCTGTTCTACCCAGTTCTTTCCTATCCGGTAAATCATCCAGTAGCACTCCCGTGGTATATGTGATGTCTCTCTGTCTGTTCCCTGCCGTGCCTGTCCCTGTATATCATAGGGTAGAATAATGGAAACAGCATTGTAAAGCCCACTCATAGGACGCCTATAATTAAGTTACGTCTACATGGTGTGTGTTTGGGATCACAGAATTCTGCTGCATATCCAGCCTTAGACCTGTTCTCCTCCTGATGTTGGAGGAATGTTCTGGTCGTGTTTCCTTGCCTTCCCCTCAGGCCTGTTAACTGTTTTCAGGCATTTTCCTCCAGGGACATTGAGCTAAGTTTACTTGTCATCTTATTATTTCACAGTTGTGTACTTTCCTTTAGAACTAGCAAAATGAGAAAATATGGCATTTAACTTTAAATGACAACTAAAGTGGTTTTCTGTTGTTTTTGTTTAAGACAAGGTCTTGCTCTGTCACCCAGGCTGGAGGGCAGTGGCACAATCATAGCTTACTGCAGCCGTGACCTCCTAGGCTCAAGTGAGCCTCCTGCGTCAACCTCCCAAGTAGCTGGGATAACGGTTGCAGCAGCACCACACCTGGCTAATTTGTTAAATTTTTTTGTAGAGATGAGGTCTTGCTATGTTGAACAGGCTGGTTTAGAATTCCTGGCCTCAAGCAATCCTCCTGCCTCAGCCTTCGCAAGTGCTGGGATTATAGGCATGAGCCACCATGCCCAGCCTGCTGAAAGTTTTTTTTTTTTTTTGCAACCTCTGCCTCCTGGTTTCAAGCGATTCCCCTGCCTCACCCTCCCGAGTAGCTGGGATTACAGGCATGTGTCACCATCCCCGACTAATTTTTGTATTTTTCCTACTAAAGTTTTTTAAACAGTCACATGACACTTGATTTTCACAGAGCCGCACTTAGCAGCCAGTCCCTATCACAGCAATACAGCGTCTCTAAACGTCATACTCCACTTTTTTGGAAGTGTAAATTCTGAGAGTAGCTATAAGTTTTATTCTAACTCATCAGGTCTTTTTTTTTTTAATGTGACTTTTCTCTTTAAAACAAAAATCAACTATAGCAGTCTCTTCAATTAAGCAGTGTCCTTTAATTCCCAAGGTCATGAAAGATTAGTCAGTCAACAGCGTTTTTAGGCCTCTAGGTTGTACGATATGTAAATGCACCTCTTAGAAGGCTCTTTAAGTAAAACATAACCTAGTTAGGCTGTGGGTTTCTTAAGAAAGAAAACCTCGTTCTCATTTATAGAGGTTTTTTGTTTTTTTTTTTTTTTAAGCAAACGTTATTCTTAAAAGAAGATAAGGCCAGGTGCGGTGGCTCACGCCTGTAATCCCAGCACTTTGGGAGGCCAAGGCAGGCGGATCACGAGGTCAGGAGATTGAGACCATCCTGGCTAAGACGGTGAAACCCCGTCTCTACTAAAAATACAAAAAAATTAGCTGGGCGTGTTGGCGGGCGCCTGTAGTCCCAGCTACTGGGGAGGCTGAGCCAGGAGAATGGTGTGAACCCGGGAGGCGGAGCTTGCAGTGAGCCGAGATCGCGCCACTGCACTCCATCCTGGGCGACAGAGCAAGACTCCATCTCAAAAAAAAAAAAAAAAAGAAAAAAGACGATAAAAGATGAACGCCTGATTTTAATTGAGAGTACCCTAAAGTTTTAAGTGCTAGTTGGAGTGTCACCTGGTATATAACAGATCTTTGCTCATTAGAAACTTTTCTCCTGAGCCAGTGCAAGTTAAAAATTTAAAAAGCGTCCAGGTTTGGTGACGCACAACTGTAGTCTGAGCTACTTGGGAGGCCTGAGGCAGGAGGATCACTTCAGCCTAGGAGTTAAAGGCCAGCCTGGGCAACATAGCAAGACCCCTATTTCCACACAAAACAAATACATAAATTCTAGAAGATGATCTCGAATAGTTTTTAAAGTTAAAATAGCCACTTAAATAGGATTGTTGAGGCTATCCGTATGGCCACAATTATGACTGAGGCTGTTCTAAGAGGGCAGTGAACATGAAGTTTTTATTTCTCAAGAGGCTAGTTGTGTGTGTGCATTTTTTTGGTAAAGAATCCTGCCTGTGAACATTTTTTAATGAAAGGTATAGGTAGAACTAGAATGAGTTGTCCAAATCCTAGAATATGTGGCTACAAAGGCATCCCTTGAATTATGTCTTTTCATTTGAAACATAAGAGGGCAGCTTTGATGTGTGTGCAAGGCGGTGCTTCCTGACAACGTCGGGAGTGTGCTTGTGGAGCTTACTACCTCGAGAGGTGATGCAGGCACAAAATAAAAGGCCCGAGAAGGGCTTGAGATGTCCATATGTGACAGCTCTCCTCTCCATGGCTGCTGCAGGCGGCTCTGGGTGTTTGGTTACCACCGTCACCCTCTAAGGCCTGTGTCTCCAGGGCTCACCTCGTCTCACAAAACCCCCTGGGTGCACGGCGAGGGCACGGTGCTGCCTCACACCAGCGTTCCCAGGCTCTCACTCTGAATGAGGTCCTGAAGTCGGGTCTGCCTTCACACATCCCGAAGCTTCCTCTAGAAGAAATAGGATTTGGCTGCTCGGAAAGGGCGGAGAGCTCTGCACTCGCATGGTTCTCAAGGAGTGGAGCTGGAACAGCATGGCTGCTTTTGTGAGGGTGGCTGGGGACATCCCAAGTCTACCTGTTATTTGTTTTTACCTCTGGCTTGGGCAGAAACAGTGATCCAAATTTATGAATGAGTTTTTAGGATTTAATATTTGATGAACTGTCTCGAATCCCCCTCTCCCTACGCCCACAAGTGCTGTGGCCCTGAAGTCACACAGCGGTCTGTGACCAGGCAGCCGGCAGCTCCTGAGCCACCCTGTTGCTCCAGAGCACTTGACACCTTTGGCCCCACACATGGCTCATGGACTAAGAAGGCATGGCAAGCACTGGGGGGCTTCCCACGTGGCCGGGCCGGAGCAAAGTCTGAGGAGTGTGCTAGAAATCTGATGTGCTGTTTGCTCTGTGACTTCAGGAGGGGACACTGAACCGGAGGTGCCTTGAGGGAGGAGCCGCCCCATCAGCCATAACCCCGCCCTTTCATGCTGCCTTCTCACCCAGCTGGAATCCAAATGGTCCTGGTCAAACAGCTGCTTTAAAACATAACTCAGTAGCTTTTCTAAAAGGCCAATTCACTCAACATTTCATACATGCCTACTGCATATAAGAACTGAGAGGTGATGGGATAAGACTCAGTTTGCCCCCTTTTAGGAACTCACCATATAGTGACGAGGCAGCCATGGAGGACCCAAGCTCATGAGGGTCTCGGAGCGCCTCAAATGCTGCACACTTGGGGTGTGTCTGTCTCAGTCAAGATCTCTCAGAGAGAGAGAGAAGAAAGCAAGATCTGTATTACCTGTTTAAAGACACTGAAGGCAGCCCAGGAGCCCAGCCGTCATCTTGTGAAGCCATTATTCTTTGGTTTTATAATCAAAACTGTACATGTATCTCATTCTTCATGGGTTTGGGTCTCTTTCCTGCCAGAAGTACAGGTTTAAGTGAGCCATCTTGAAACATGACAGTAGTATCTAGCTAGAAGTAACCATTATTGGCCGGGTGCAGTGGCTCACGCCTGTCTGTCATCCCAGCACTTTGGGAGGCCCAGGTGGGTGGATCATCTGAGGTCAGGATTTGGAGACCAGCCTGGCCAACATGGTGAAACTCCGTCTCTACGAAAAATACAAAAATTAGCCAGGCGTGGTGACGCGTGCCTGTAATCCCAGCTGCTCCGGAGGCTGAGGCAGGAAAATCACTTGAACCCGGGTGGCGGAGGTTGCAGTGAGCCGAGATCGCACCACTGCACTCCAGCCTGGGCAACAGATGGAGACCCCATCTAAAAAAAAAAAAAAAAAAAAAGAAACCCTAATTAAACCTTTGTCCCGAAACTGTGCCGCGCCCACTTCGGCAACCTCGGAAGAGAGACTCTAAGTGCAGGTGGAGCAGAGATGAGTTCTGCTGCTTCACATTTTTTAAATCCCTCACAGGGGGTTGCCACAATTGTCTTAGTCTGCAGTTAAACTAAATTTCTTTTTTTTTCCCCCCCAAGATGGAGTCTTGCTCTGTTGCCCAGAGCTGGAATGCAATGGCACAATCTCAGCTCAGTGCAACCTCTGCCTCCTGGGTTCCAGCAATTCTCCTGCTTTAGCCTCCCAAGTAGCTGGGATTACAGGTGGGTGCTACCACGCCTGGCTAATTTTTTTTTGTATTTTTAGTAGAAACGGGGTTTCACCATGTTGGCCAGGCTGGTATCAAACTCCTGGCCTCTAGTGATTCGGCCTCTCAGAGTGCTAGGATTACAGGCATGAGCCACCACGCCTGGCCAATTCAGCTGTTTTTTAGGTAGGGGTTACTTCAGTACACGTATTTTAAGCCTTCTCAGCATTTTTGTTCAACCAACCAAAGATTTGATTCTACCGTTTCTCTAATCTGTGCTGGTATAGCAATAGCTAGGACTTCTCGACCTGTTGCTGTTTTTTAAAAAGTTGTCATCTAGCTTTTTATTGGGCTGCTGCCCTCAGAGCTTGAATGGGGCTTGGATAGACCTTTTTTCTGCCATCTCTATGCAGGAGTCAACAGAGATCAGCTAGACTGGGACTTTGTTCTCTACGTGGGGGCTTGTTCTGGTGCATTATAATGACCTTAGTATGTTCAGCATTTTGAGTTTTCTGGTTTGAATGCACTAGAAATTCTCTCTTCAAAATCATATCATATATATATTAGGGTAAAAATACATTGCTCACATTCTTGAAGCAAAGCAATATTTCCTTCAGAGACTTGTCATTTCTTGAAGTCAGCATGGTAGGATAGAATGTGAGGGATGGGCCCGGCACAGTAGCTCACGCCTATAATCCCAGCACTTTGGGAGGCCGAGGCGGGTAGATCACAAGGTCAGGAGTTCGAGACCAGCCTGGCCAATATGGTGAAACCCCATCTCTACTAAAAATAAACAAGTTAGCTGGGCGTGTTGGCAGGTGCCTATAGTCCCAGCTACTCAGGAAGCTGAGGCAGGAGAATCGCTTGAACCCAGGAGGTGGAGGTTGCAGTGAGCCGAGATTGTATGACTGCACTCCAGCCTGGGCAACAAAGCGAGACTCTGTCTCAAAAAAAAAAAAAAAAAAAAAAAAGGAGAGATGGTTTCCTAGCCTGTTCTTTTAACATCTGAAGATGTGTATCCTTAAAGAACTGCCATTTACTCCACAATCCAAACTGGTACATTAAAAAACATCATTTGGGCCAAGCATGGTGGCTCATGCCTGTAATCCCAGCACTTTGGGAGGCTGAGGCGGGTAGATCATTTGAGGTCAGGAGCTTGAGACCAGCTTGGCCAAAACGCTGAAACCCCATCTCTGCTAAAAATACCAAAAAACAAAAAAGGCCGAGTGTGGTGGTGCAGCCTGTAATCTCAGCGATTCTGGAGGCTGAGGTGGGGGAATTGCATGAACCAGGAGGCGGAGGTTGCAGTGAGCCAAGATCACACCACTGCACTCCAAGCTGGGAGACAGAGTGAGAGACTGTCTCAAAAAAACAAACAAAAAAAATTTGTGAGAAGGGAATTTACTTTTCTGCTGTCCGCCTTCTTCTACCTTTCTAACTAATAGGGACAAACTTAACGCTTTCTCCAACTCACCCTTGCCCAAGAAAGCGGCTATTTTTGCTTCTCATTTCCTATCTACATAGTTCCTAGGGACCTGAGTCATTAGCAAACGCCTCTTCCAACAGCACCCAGCCCTGCAGGAGCCTCCACTGCGGGCTCCAGCTCTCTCCCGCCTCCAAGGACCACCAGGCGATGCCTTGTGCTTTTGGATTTTTTTACTATAACAGCTTTATCGGGATACAAGTCACATAGCATACAGTTCACCCATGTAAAGTATACATTCAATGGCATTTAGTGTATTTACATCCCCACAGTCCATTTTAGAATGTTTTCCTCTCCTGAAAAGAAATCATGGCCCATTTGCAGTCACTGCCCATCCCTGCCCCTGCCCTCATCGCCATGACCTGCTCCCCCAGGCCATCTCTTTCTTTTGGGCATCTCCCGAGGGAGGGGTAGACAGATTCTCCCTGCCGAGGGCCACAAGCCTCTTTTCTGACCCTGAGGCCCTGATCCCTTCCCCACCGGCACTCTCTGCTTCTGCTCTCCTCTCCTCCCCTCCCAGGGAAGGCAGATCCGGGTTCACTGTGGAAGGTGGCTTCGTCCCCCAGGATTAGGCAGCGGACAGCCCACAGCATGGCTGGCCCTGCCTTGGGACTCAGGGCACAAGGCCAGACTGACTACAGAGAAGGTGCTTGGGATACACACCAGGTGCCCAGCACTCACTCCAGCCCCACACCCTAGAGGGGCTCGGGTAGGTTGAGGATGTGAGAATCTCAGGCTTCCAGGACCTGGGAAGCTGCTCACCAACTGGCTCGGTGAAAATGGATTTTTGGGCTGGGCGCGGTAGCTCACACCTGTAATCCCAGCACTTTGGGAGGCCAAGGTGGGTGGATCACGAGGTCAGGAGTTCGAGACCAGGCTGGCCAGCATGGTGAAACCCCCGTCTCTGCTAAAAATACAAAAATTAGCCAGGCGTGGTGGCGGGTGCCTGTAATCCCAGCTACTCCGGATCCTGAGGCAGAAAATTGCTTGAACCCAGGAGGCGGAGATTGCAGTGAGCCAAGATCGTGCCACTGCACTCCAGCCTGGGTGACAGAGCGAGACTCCATCTCAAAAAAAAAAGAAAATGGATTTTTGTCTCATTTTATACAAATAATAAGAAGAGGAAGAAAGAACCCTGAGGTGAGACCGTGAGCCGAGGAACTCTGGGATGAAATGTATGAGGCCTGCGTGGGGATCCGAGCAAGGGTCGGTTGATGCTTGTTAGTGTGTGATGGGAAACAACAGAACAAAACCAAAAGCAAGTATGCAGCTGGGTCAAGGCCAGGCATGGCGGCTCATGCTTGTAATCCCAGCACTTTGGGAGGCCAAGGTGGGTGAATCACTTGAGGTCAGGAATTCGAGACCAGGCTGGCCAACATGGCGAAACCCCATCTCTACTAAAAATACAAAAATTAACCGGGCGTGGTGGCGTGCACCTGTAGTCCCAGCTACCCTGGAGGCTGAGGCAGGAGAATTGCTTGAACCTGGGAGGTGGTGGCTGCAGTGAGCTGAGATCGTGCCACTGCACTCCAGCCTGGGCGACAGAGCAAGACTCCTAAAAAATAATAACAAATTGTTTCCCATATTCAGTATTTTCTGCACTATAACCAACATGATCTTTCCAAAATGCTGTGTGGATGACTGTGCCTTGTTCCTTGTTGCTTAACTCTCATCCAGTTCTTTCAGGTTATTGACTGACATGTCATTTCCTCTCTGAAGTTTTTCCTGCACAGACCCCTTTCCCTGGAAGCGTGGCTTGGTAACCATGCACGCCGTGTTTCCATCACACCCCAGGCTCACCTTGTCATAGGAGTTCCACACTCTAGGGCAGTTGCTGATCTTATCTGAAGCCCTCATTGGGTGGTAAGCTCTAGACAGCAGGAGCATGATTTATACTGTGGTACTGGATTGTGTGCTTAGCAGGTGCGTGTGTGTGGCTGTGATTCAGGGGATGCTGTGGGGGTGGGCTGAGGTTTGAAATCCGGCCGTGAAAGTAGGTGAGATGCAGCCGTGCACGGATGGGCGTCGCTGCCTTAGAAGCCGACATAGGAAGAGCCAGTGATGGACTTGAGCAGGGAGCAAGAAGCGACAAACCATAGCCTGTGGCCCGTAGCTGCCCCCACTCCGTGCTTTTGTAAATACAGTTCAGTGTAACAAAAGTGAGGCTCATTCCTTACCTTGGTAGAGTTGAGAAGCTGCTACCCTAAAGCCTGCACAGCCCAGAATATTCACTACCTGGCCCTTTACCAAAGAGTTGGCCATGCCTCCCGAGGAATATAAAGGAGAGAATGGTGGAAAGTTAACTGTGAAGGGTAGGCGGAGCCATAGCAAATACCTAGGAAGACATAGGGCAGAAAACGTGCAAGATGTCTACACTGGAAACTATGAGAAACATTGAGAGAAATTAAAGAGCCAGATCTGTGCATCTAAACTGTCAGCGCATCAGACTCCCTGGAGGCTGCGTCCAACACAGACTGACAGGCCCAGCGCCTGAGAGTTTCTAATGCGGCAGGTCTGGGATCGGACCCAGGAATGTTTCTGACAAGTTCACAGATGCTGCTTCTGGTCCAGACACCACACTTTGAGAACCACACATCTAAATAAATGAAGCCATGAGCCATATTCATGGGTCAAGAAAAGATCGCAGAGACATCAGTTCTCTGCAATTTGAGAAACTTTCATGCAAATCCCGCTTAAAGTCACCACAGGGGCATGCGTGTGTTTATGTGAATATGCAAATTGACAAACTGATACTAAAATTTATGTGGAAATAAAAAAGGACTAAGAAAGCTAAACAGACTTAAGGAAGACTTTAAGAACTCCAACAAAACTGGAGGACTCTGCCAGATATCAAGACTTACTATAGAATGGGCACAGTGGCTCATGCCTACAATAACACCACTTTGGGAAGCTGAGGCCAGAGGACTGCCTGAGCCCAGGAGTTCAAGATCAGCCTGGGCCATGTAGCAAGACTTTGTCTCTACAAAAAATATATAAAAATTAGCTGGGTATGGTAGTGTTTGCCTGTAGTTCCAGCCACTGGGGAGGCTGAGGTGGGAGGATCACTTGAGCTGGGGAGACCTAGGCTGCAATGAGCTGTGATTGTACCACTGCACTGTAGACTGGGCAACAGAGTGAGACACGGTCTCCAAAAAATCAACAAAAGGCATATACAAAACATCAATATTTCATTATGTATATGCAAATATTTCAAAATGTGAAAAAATCCAGAACACTTCTTATCCCAAACATTTCCGATGAGGAGTACTCACCTGTATTATGGAGAAAAAAAAGCTCAACATCATTAGTCTTCGTGGAAATGACACTGAAAATCACAGTGAAATATGACTGCATTCCTCTCCTTCAGGGCGCTAGAGCAACCAGCCCTGCCGAAAGCAAGTGTCAGTCAGTACAACCACTTCGGAAAGCTGTGTCCACCCACCCAAGCAGACACACATCTTCAGACCCGGCGATTGTGCATAGGTTTATATCCAACAGGTACGCATTGCTTATCTTCCCTAGCAATGTTCTGCCTGCCTACCTAACCCGTGCCTAGGTATCTCTCCTTTTCCTGAGACATCCTTCTTTCAGGATTAAGCTAATAAGACCAGGCTAGCTTGAGAAATTTGCATGTGTTCTTGTGTTTTCATCCCCAAAACAACAGTGTACTATGCTTTCAACTATAGTCTCTGAAATTGTGTAGACCACAGGCTCTGTATGGGCCTGGGAGTTAGATGCTTTGGGTAGGTGGGCATTTGAATACCTCTCAGATCACAGTGTGGAAAGCATCAGACTACACCACATGGATCAGCTCTCAATCACTTCTGATAAGACAAAAAAAATACATTAGCAGGGCACAGACGTGCACCTGTAGTCCCAGCATCTCTGGAGGCTGAGGCAGGAGAACCACTTGAGCCCTGGGGGCAGAGGTTACAGCGAGTCAGGATCGCGCCACTGCACTCAACAGCCTGGCAACGGGAGTGAAACCATCCCCCCCACAAAAAAAAAAAAAAGTACAGCAGAAGCAGAGTCCACACTCATAGCATTATAGAGTCAAATAGTCTATAAGGTTTATAAAAGCATCAGTCCGCATGTACCACCTCCATTTCCTACTCAATGGGAGGCAACAGCTCTTAACTCTACCTATTTGTTATTTACCTCCACTATTGACATATTGCTATATATCCTTTGTTTTTTTCATGTGTCTGTATTAAGTATGCACAATTTCAATCTGAGACAACTCTGTTATGGTGTCGGTGTGTATGTTGCTGTGCACAGATGATAGATAAATGCTTTCTCTCACATTAGTTTTTCTGTGGTTGCTCATGGTTTCGGTTTTGCTTGCATGGTTTCCTTTGCCACCCTTGGGCTTGTTGTGAACTAGACTACTTGCTGAGCGCACAGGTGGCTTCCTGGGGAGCCCTCGTTATTCTGGGATTCCCTGCAGCTTTCTCATGTGGACGCTTCTGTTACCTGGCTCCGTGTCTTCTGTCTGGGTTTACTCCGTGTTTAGAGGAACAGCTGCCCTTCCTGACTACCCTGCAGAGGCTTCCTCAGACAGGCTGACATGGGAGATCAGATTGAAGACCTTGCATGACTTAAAAACACCTTTATTCTTCCGTAGTTCTAATTAATAATCGGATTATGTATAGGATCCTAGTTCACAATTTATCCGGGTTTTGAGCCCCCATTGTCTCCCGGCTTCTGGTGTTGCTGCTGAGAAGTCTGTTGCTGTTTTCTGATTCCTGATCTTTTGTTTGTTTAAATTGTTTGGAAGTTATTTCAAACTTAATGAAGTTATAAGAATAGTACAGAGAACTCCCACCTACGCTTTAATTAGATTCACCAATTTTTAAATTTTTTCCACATTTTAACATGCGCTCTCTCTATATACACAACACACGCACACTTTATTTTTTCTGAACCATTTGAATGTAGTTGCTACATAATGCTCCCCTCAATACTGAAGTACATTTTAAAAACAAGGATACTATTCTCTTACGTAACTTAGGCAGTTATCAAATTCTGATTTCTGAATTTTTTTTTTCTTTTTTTTTTTTTTGAGACAGAGTCTTGCTCTGTCACCCAGGCTGGAGTGCAGTGGTGCAGTCTTGGCTCACTGCAACCTCTGCCTCCCAGGTTCAAGTGATTCTCCTGCCTCGGCCTCCTAAGTAGCAGGGATTACAGGTGCACACCACCATGCCCGGCTAATTTTTGTATCTTTAGTAGAGACAGGATTTTACCATGTTGGCCAGCCTGGGCTCGAACTCTGGAGCTCGAGTGATCCACCCACCTCGGCCTCCCACAGTACTGGGATTACAGGCGTGAGCCACCGCACCTGGCTTCTGATTTCTGATCTTTTGTATGTGACCTGCTTTTTCACTCTGGGAAGCTTTCCAGATCTTTTCTTGGCTTTCAGTATTCTGAAATGTCACAATGATGCATACCTTGGCATGGGTCTGTTTGATTTTTATTCATTAGGTTGTACACTAAGGACCCCTTTCAGTTTGGAAACTCACCTGTTCCTGTTTAGGGGCATTTCCCTGAATTATTTTATTTTATAATTTCTTCCTCTCATTTTCTCTGATTTCTCTCTCTGGAACTCTCATTATTCACATAGTGGCCCTCCCAGATCCATCCTTTGATTTTCTTATCCTTTTTTTTCATAGTTTTCTGATTTTACAACTTTATCTTTTAGGCTTTTATTTAGTTTTTCATTTTTTTGTGCTGTTAGTATTTTTTATTTATTTCTAAGTCTTCTTTTGTCCTGTAAAGAAAAAAAATCATGCTGTTTATGGATTCAGTATCCCCTCTTATCTGACAACTGATGATAGCCTTTTTGAAGTTTTCCATCACTCCACATAGTTCATTTCCTGTAAGTTGCTTTTCTATCCTTTGATTTTGATAGCTGTTTCACATTAACAGTTTTCCTCAGATGCTCGGTGGTTATTAGATATCTGCGCATACTCCAGAGTAGGACAGTAAGAAACTGCTGCGCAGTTCTACACTGGGATTCGTTGACTGTAATCTTTACCTGTGGATTGATCTTGCTGGGGAACCCTTGGGATCAGCCTTTTTTGGCTCTTGGATTCCTCGGGTTCCCCAGAGATGACATGCACAGTCCTCCATCTGGAGGGCGGTCACTTGGCTGCACTGACAGCCCACACTGTTAACACGGCACTCCACCGTCAGCTTTGCTCCGTGGCCCCACTTCAGGGTTCCTCTGTCACCTTTTTCGAGAGTAACTGGCGAGTTTTGTGCCGGGATGAGCTCATTGCTTCTGAAAGAGACTTTCAAACAGTTCAGCTCTCTTCACCGTCACCTTGCCCACACTTCCAGAGCCGCTCAGCACCTCCAGGGCCTGAGCTTCTGGGCAGTTCTTCGGGATGCAGCAGGTGGGTCACTGGCTTTCCTGGGCCTTCTCAGTCAGTTTCCACCTGTCCTGCTCTCCGGC
The DNA here is from genome assembly GCF_000001405.40 of Homo sapiens. NCBI lineage: Eukaryota > Metazoa > Chordata > Mammalia > Primates > Hominidae > Homo > Homo sapiens. Next base: position 11,865,999 of record NC_000010.11, read on the forward strand.
TGCCCTGCTTTTGGCTGTTGGATTCTTCAGGTTCCCCAAAGATGATGCGTGCTCCACCATCTCTCTTCCTGTTATTTTGTCATTGTGATTTGTGCCTTAAAAAAAAAATCCCTTCGTTTTAGTACGGTTTCTGGTGAGAAAGGAGATAAATATGTGAGTTCAATCCACCATCTTTAAGCAGAGGTTTCCCGTGATTATGGAAAAACAAGTGTGTTGGATAGCCGTAGGCTGACTGCAGCTCTCCAGTGTGCTCCCGAGAGGGTGCTTTTTGTCATTGACTTGCTAGGAACCCCAAGGCGAGGGCCCGTTATAACAGCTTTGAGGCTCTGTTGTTTGCTCTGCCTTTCGGAACACGTTCTCTTCCATCTGGGTGATGGAGAGGCACACGCAGGCACTGTGTGGCAGGGTACTCTCGGGACACAGTGAGTTCCGCCCTGGGCTGTGGACCAATCCCAACTTTGCTTCAGCTTTTGTCTCTTTAGTGAAGCCAGTGTTTGTTTTCTCTCTTCTGTTCCCAATCCCTGTACTCTAGGATGATGAGAGCCTGAAGTACCTCACCCATGAGGAAAAGGATGTGCTCCTGTTTTTTGAAGAGACGATTGACTCCCTAGACGAGGACTTTGAGGAGCCAGTGCTGTGCGATGGAGGAGTGTGCTGCCTCTGCTCCCCGTCTCTGGAGGAGAGCACCTCCAGTCCCTCCGAGCCTGAAGATGTCATCGACTTAGTGCAGCCAGCACCTGGCGCCGGGGAAGCCGAGGGCCTTCCAGAGGGGACCCAGGCAGCAGGTGAGGGGGAAGACAGGCCATCCCTGGGATGTGGTTTCCTGGTGTCTGTGAGACCCAGAGATACTTCTTTTGTGTTCCCCTGTGTTTGCCAGTAGAAGTTGTTGAGTCTTACCAGATTTTTATAGGGGAAAATACTCCTTGGCAGTTTCATCATCCAGCAAAGGGAAATGCCAGAGGGCCTAGAATAAAGAATGGAATGGGCCAGGCGCGGTGGCTCAAGCCTGTAATCCCAGCACTTTGGGAGGCTGAGGCAGGTGGATCATGAGGTCAGGAGATTGAGACCATCCTGACTAACACAGTGAAACCCCGTCTCTACTAAAAAATACAAAAAATTAGCCAGGCATGGTGACGGGTGCCTGTAGTCCCAGCTACTCAGGAGGCTGAGGCAGGAGAATGGCGTGAACCCGGGAGGCAGAGCTTGCAGTGAGCCGAGATTGTGCCAGTGCACTCCAGCCTGGGGGACAGAGTGAGACTCCGTCTCAAAAAAAAAAAAAAAAAAAAAAAGAATGAACTGGGCACATAAGCAGAGTTTACATTTTTTTAAATACACAATGCATACATGCACAGAAAGAAAATTGGAAATGGCTTCCAGGTAATTATTCTATTTTACAGGCTGGGCGCCATGGATCACTTGAGGCCAGGAGTTCAAGACCAGCCTGGCCAACACGGTGAAATCTCATCTCTACTAAAAATACAAAAATTAGCTGGCGCACACCTGTAGTCCCAGCTGGTCCAGAGGCTGAGGCACAAGAATCACTTGAACCTAGGAGGCAGAGGTTGCAGTGAGCTGAGATCGTGCTACTGCACTCCAGCCTGGGTGGCAGAGCGAGACCCTGTCTCAAAAAAAGAAAGAGAATCTCATACCACTGCTGACGTGGCAGGAGGTGGAGCTCGGTAATGCGAGCCATGGGTAGAGGCTGTAGATACAAATGAAGCTTCACTCGCTCACCACTCACGTCCTGCTGTGCGCCCCAGTTCCTAACAGGCCAGACCAGTACCAGGGTTGTTGGGGATCCCTGAGCTGGAGGGAAATGGGCAGAGAGAAATATCTTCCAGTTTTTTTCCCCGATTGGAAAGGATACTGAAAACAAATGTGGCCAAGGGTTTAACATTGGAAGGGATGAGGAAACATTACTTTTGCCCTGGTAAGGATAAAATACTGTCATTTGTCTTGAGCCACTAGAAATAAAGTGTGTACACGTGTGTACACATGTATGTCTTTCAAGCAAGGCTATGTATTACTCAGAACTTCACATACTACGGTTATGGATTCCATGTAAATATGGAGCTTGGTTTGCAGCCATCTCTTCAAAGAGGAGAAGTAATGTACTGTTCTTTTTTACTGTACTTCTGCTTTGAAATAGAGTTCCAAAAGTAATTTGAACCAGCCGATCCTTTTAAAATGTGAGATCACGTAGTCATGCCAAGGAAAACACTCTTTGAAAAATCAGCTACACCTGTCCATCTGTTCTCTAACATATTTTCATAACAATTTTTCTTTCATTTTTCTGAGACAGGAACTCTCTCTCCCACCCAGGCTGGAGTGCAATGGCACAGTCCTGGCTCACTGCACCCTCCAACTCCTGGGTTCAGATGATCCTCCCACCTCAGCCTCCCAAGTAGCTGGCACTACAAGCATGTGCCACCATGCCTGGCTAAATTTTTTTTTGTAGTGATGGGGTCTCACTATGCAGCCCAGGCTGGTCTCGAACTCTTGGGCTCAAGTGATCCTCCCACCTCAGCTTCCCAGATTGCTGGGACAGGTGTGAGCCACCACACCTGGCATATTCATAACAACTTTAAGTGCCCACAGAGTACAGAAGAACATAAAAAGATATGAATTTCAGGTTTTTTGTTTTTTGTTTTGTTTTGTTTTGTTTTTTCTGAGACAGAGTCTCACTGTGTCACTCAGGCTGGAGTGCAGTGGTGCCATCTCAGCTCACTGCAACCTCCACCTCCCAGGTTCAAGGGATTCTCCTGCCTCAGCCTCCAGAGTAGCTGGGACTATAGGCACACGCCACCACGCCCAGCTAATTGTTGTATTTTTAGTAGAGACAAGGTTTCACCACGTTGGCCAGGCTGGTCTTGAACTTCTGGCCTCAAGTGATCCACCTGCCTCGGCCTCCCAAAGTGCTGGGATTACAGGTGCGAGCCACCGCGCCCGGCCCAGTGTTGTATTGAGAGACAGATGCATAAGTACAGCAGTGCCAGGTGATCTGTGACTGATACATGCTATGTAAGGACTCAGAGGCAGGCCTGTTAAATTCTCTGTCATAGAGGAAAGTGACACAGCTACATGTCCTTCATCCAGAAAGACCTGCTGGTGTCGGTGTGTGCCACACACTTTCTAGACTCAATTTCCCCTTTGTAAACTCCCCTGATGAGTTGGTCACTACTTGCGTCCTGTCCCAGCCTCAGGGGCTGGAGCCTCAGCAGCCCACATGGACGGAATGTCTCCTAGGTGTGGACTGTCTGACTTGCAGGGCTATCGTGATTGTCCCTTATCAGCGTGAGGTCATGAGCATGACATACCACCTTCTCCTTCCCTAGTCCCAGGAACAGGGAGAGAGGAGTTGACTCACAGGCAGCACCGGCGAAGTTGGTGTCAGGTCCAGGTTGAGGCTCTTTTCAGTTCAGCGAGAGGGAACTTCATGCATTTACTTTCACGTGGGCCGGTGGCTCACAGGCTCCTCCCTTGTCTTCCAGGGCCTGCACCTGCTGGGAAGGAGCACAGGAAACAAGATGCTGAGACTCCTCCACCTCCAGACCCCCCGGCTCCCGAGACCCTTCTTGCGCCACCACCCCTGCCTAGCACCCCCGATCCCCCCAGGAGGGAGCTGCGCGCCCCCTCCCCGCCGGTGGAGCACCCCAGACTCCTGCGCTCTGTTCCCACGCCCCTCGTTATGGCGCAGAAGATTTCCGAGAGGATGGCGGGGAACGAAGCCCTCTCGCCCACCTCCCCGTTCAGGGAGGGCCGGCCCGGGGAGTGGAGGACACCTGCCGCCCGGGGGCCCCGCAGTGGAGACCCTGGCCCGGGGCCCAGCCACCCGGCGCAGCCCAAGGCACCCCGCTTCCCCAGCAACATCATCGTCACCAACGGCGCGGCCCGGGAGCCCCGCAGGACCCTGTCCAGGGCGGCCGTCAGCGTGCAGGAGCGCAGGGCGCAGGTGTTGGCCACCATCCACGGCCACGCCGGCGCCTTCCCCGCCGCGGGGGACGCCGGCGAGGGGGCCCCAGGGGGCGGCTCCTCCCCGGAGCGGGTGGCGCGTGGCCGGGGCCTGCCGGGCCCCGCTGAGAGTCTCCGGGCAGGGGGTCAGGCTCCGCGGGGCCCGGCGCTGGCCAACGGCTTCCCAAGTGCGCACGAGGCCCTGAAGAGCGCACCCAGCTCCTTCGCGCCCGCTGGGAAGTCCCTCTGCTTCCGCCCTGGCCCGGCCCTGCCCAGCACGCGGGCCCGTCAGAGCTTCCCCGGGCCCCGGCAGCCCAACGGCGCCCAGGACTGGCGCCGCGCAGACTCCCTGCCCCGGCCCCAGGGCATCACCGTGCAGTTCGCGGGCCGCGGCTCCTCGGAGGAGGCGCGCAGGGAGGCCCTGCGGAAGCTGGGGCTGCTCAGGGAGAGTTCGTGAGGGCCGCGCGGGCTCCAGTCCACCCCGTTTCTCCCCACCCTGAAGAGAGGGTGAAAGAGTCGCTGCACCCAGGAGCTGTTTGGTCTAAAATGGAAGTGACAGCGGGAGCCCCTGCCCTCTGTGGCACATCGGAGTCTAGAGGTGCCTGGCTGGGGCCTCCTGGCTGAGCACGCACCGCAAGCTCCAGCCACCGGCACAGAGAACTCTTCCCTAAAGGAATCTGGCCGAGGGCTTGTCTCCCTTTTCCCAAGAACTGAGAGAGAGAGAATAACCTGTTAGACCCATAGGTTTCCGTGATGTGTAAATGCCATCTTTTGGGGGTTGGGAGGAGTAGGACTGGTCTGATTATCATTCTTGAGTCTCATCTACCCTCTTCTCGAAGTACATGACATGAAAGTTCAGATCCCTTCCACTCAGGATTCTCGCCGCCTTTTCTAAGAAAATAATAAAAAAAAATGCTTGTTTCATTTTTTAATGTCTTAATATACTTGCTTTTGTTTTTGAAGGGTGAGGCATCATGGTACTTTGCTTTTGTTTCTTGACGTACTTTAGTTTGCCCAGTTTTGTTTTTTACTGAAAACTGAAATGAAACCTTTAGATATTGAGTTTTGGGAGTGAAATGGAAAGGTGGTAATTTTGAGAAAGCAAGTCTCATCAGACTCTGAGGTCTGGGACGTGTGCGTGAGCCTGTGTTTGTGTGTGTATGTTTTTAGATACGTACGTGTCAACACATACATGCATAGGTATCCTGTGTGTCCACATGCATCATTATTATATAAATAGAAACTTCTGAACACCCTCCTAAGTCACTACAGGATGCCAGCGCTTCCTATTCTTGGGTAGACAGAGCCACCTCAGCATCCTGATGGATGATACAAGAAATTGTTACTTCCTAGTATGGAAGTGTCTTAAGGACACGTCTCCATGATATTTTGGTGAACCAAAAGTGCTTTATCCTCAACAAAATGTTCCTCTGTTCCCAGTTAAAGTAATATTCCCTGCTTCCAAGTAAGCAAGACTGTTCACTAAAGAAGGAACTTTTTAGAAAACTAATCTCCTTTATCATCCAATTTTAGTTCTGCATGTTCCGAGGTAGCCAGTCAACAGAAGGAAGCAAAAGATTCTTAAAGATCCACCGACTGTCATGTTCCACAAGCAAGATCTCAGGGTAGGGAAAAACCAGTGAATGAGGTTACACAGCAGGAAAAGAACCGGTTTCCTCCCAGACTATGTCTTACACGCTGAGTTATGCCACAAGCGTTATCATCAAAACTATTTAAGGCTGGAGTCTTAGACCTCTAAAAATAGACAGGAAGGGCTGCCCTGAGCAGTGACACCTTTGTGTTTTTATGTCTCCGCCAGCGCCGTAACAGAGCCTGTTTCTTTCCCGTTGAGTATTACTTAAATTCAGGCTTAAATGTGCTATGAAGGGCATTTTTCATAGTATCCCATTTGCCTTGTAAGTTATATAAAGTGCATGATTATAATTTTTTCCTTAGAAATGCAATATTTAGTTTCATCCAGCTCTTATGAATAATAACCTCATAGATTCCTGATCTTAATTTAAATAGGTGCTTTAATTTTACAGCTTTCAAAAGTAGTTACTGTAAATTTTACTCCTGTTAATGCTGGATTGGTTTAAAGGATTTATAAGGGCTGTGTTTGCTCTTTACAAGGCAAGATGCCATACAGTGTTCAATAATAGAAGGTCTTGATACAACCGACATTTTAAATATTCTTTATACATGAGGACTGCATCTTTTTCACTGACCCTATGATTTCACTGTGAGTAGGGTGAACTGGACTGCATATTAGTTTATTTGTTGCCATAATCACATTTTTGAAAAATAAATTTAAGAGTTTTTTCTTAAGTAAGCTTGTTTTTGCATTGCATGCTATATTCTCAGTTACTTTCTTTTAAATGGTTATACCCTTTCCTTCTATTTATTCATAATTTCTTCTCTTTATTCATAGTTACACTGACTGTCACTCTGGTCATTTCTTGTGTCTAAAACCCTACTAATTATAGCCATATGTTTTGTACAAAGTTCAAATTATAGCTGCTGCTAAACTAACCTTTAAGTGTACTTATGTTAGCAAACCCAGTTTGTGGAGAGGCATTAGTTTCCTTGCCATAATTACGTGATGTGATTTCTTAAAGGTCATCTGGTTCATGGTAATTTGAAGGACCATGCATATCTCAAAGCAAAACCGTAATGGAAAGGAAAGATGAAGTGTTAAATGCCCCACTTTTTTCCCCAAGTTATGCTGGAAATCATTCTCCACTTTTACAAAACTCTTTATCTTAATGCTTAAATCAGAAAAAAAAAAAATACCCTTTTTTTTTTGAGATGGTCTTGTCTCCCTCTTCCCAAGAACTGAGTGAGAGAATCACCTTCGCCCAGGCTGGAATGCAGTGGCATGATCTCGGCTCACTGCAACCTCCAGCCTCCCGAGTAGCTGGGATAATAGGAACGTGCCACCATGCTGGGCTAACTTTTGTATTTTTAGTAGAGATGGGGTTTCACTATGTTGGCCAGGCTGGTCTCGAACTCCTGACCTCATGTGATCCCCCCGCCTTGGCCTCCCAAAGTACTGGGATTACAGGCGTAAGCCACTGCCCCAGCCATATCCTTTCCTTTTCAAAAGTTGTGTGCAAATGGCCAAACCAGAGTCCCATGGGCAGATGGCAACACCAAACACAGGATCACAGCATCAGCCGCAGTCCTCTCCTCCTCCTCCCCTTTCTGATACTTGGTTCCTAGCATGCATACCCAACTTTGTGAGACTGGCAGAAATGTTGATCTTTGCTTCTCCCCTGCCCGCATTCTCCTGTAAGGCTGGCTGAGGAGAGAAGGGACAGGAAAGACAGACACAGATCCTGGGATGCTTTCATCAAGAATTCGGGGGACAACTTCTCCATGGTGTTTAATGATAGAGCCCTCGGCTTCATGAATTATTGACCAAACTCACAGGCATCTGAGGGCGGCCCCAGGCATGGGGCTCGCAGCCTACACTGCCTGCCTGCTCTTCAGCCCCTCCTGGGCTATACAAGCTGTCTTCTGACTCTAGGATTCCTCACTCAAAATTCCTGGTGCAGAGTTCCACTGTAGGATGCCCATTTGAAACCAGCTGTAAAGAGCTGAGCAGAGGTGATGAGCAAGGCCTTATGGAAACCTTAGGATTTACTGTTTTATTTAAAAACACAAAATCGGAAATACATTCTCTTGGCCGGTGGCTCATGCCAGAAATTTGGGAGGCCGAGGTGGGGGGAATCGATTGAGCCCAGGGGTTCGAGACCAGCCTGGGCAATATAGTGAGTCCCTATCTCTACAAAAAAAAAAAAATAGCCCAGCCTGGTGGCATGCACCTATAGTCCCAGTTACTAGGAGGCAGAGGTGGCAGTATCACTTCAGTCTGGGAGGTCAAGGTTGCAGTTAGCCGAGATCTTGCCACTGCACTCCAACCTGGGCAACAGAGCGAGACCTTGTCTCGAAAAAAGAAAAAAGAAATGGATTCTCCTTAAATTTCCACACCTCTGGCTGTGAGGATTCTGACTTGTCAGAGGATTTGGTGGAGTTTTTTTTAATATACAATAGGTAATCTAAGGAAATCAGTTATTTAATGGTTAATAAAGAGGAATGAAAGAGAAAAAATATGACAACAATTTACTTTTATCGAGAAACTCCTGCCAGGCGCCGCGGCTCACACCTGTAATCCCAGCAATTTGGGAGGCCGAAGTGGGCGGATCACAAGGTCAGGAGATCGAGATCAGCCTGGCCAACATAGTGAAACCCCATCTCTACGAAAATACAAAAAGTAGCCGGGCGTGGTGGCGGGTGCCTGTAGTCCCAGCTACTTGGGAGGCTGAGGCAGGAGAATGGCGTGAACCCGTGAGGCGGAGGTTGCAGTGAGCCGAGATTGCGCCACTGCACTCCAGCCTGGGCGACAGAGTGAGACTCTGTCCCCAAAAAAAAAAAAGAAACTCCTAACTGCTGTGCTGTTTTCCCGATGGTGACTCCCCTCAGGAAGGCACTGTTTCTCTGCGTGTATTTATCGCTGTGACGTGGCGAGATTAATAAACTTGTTTTCCCCTAAACTGCTTCCCTGAGTTCTTAAACTTCTGTCATCAAAGAATGGTGAACTCTGAGGGAGCAGTCGCCTTGTTTTCCTGTTTCTTCTCATCTTGCTGTGGTCCCCGCCAGGGCTGCTGGGGGGAGGAGGAGGGGGAGGAGGAAGGGGAGGAGTTGGGAGTGCTCACCTGGAGAGGTTTGTGTTTTCATTGAAAGGACAAGTCACCAAACAGGTTTTGTGTCTTCTCTTCACAAGGCTTTTCTCTCCCCTGCTTTTAAGTAGGGGGAACAAGTTCCATCTCCTTTTCTAATCTGCTAGTTGGACAAGCCCTGCTTTCAAATAGTTGAGGAAAGAAGACAGAGCTGCAAGCCTCCGTTTCCTGGGAAATCACGTGCTCTGTCATTGAATTTGAAGCGGAGGCGTGGCTGGGAACCCAGCTCCACGTGGCCTACCTCCCCCAGGCCTCTGGGGCTTCTCCCTCACCGCCAGAATCACCACTTTCTCTCGGCATGAAAGCCTTGTGGGGGGATCCAGCCAGCCACAGAAGAAAAAGCCCTGGGGCCCTCCCACCCCACGCTTTTCACCATGGCAACAGTCCGCCCTGGCGTTTGACAGATAAAGGCTTTCTGAAAGGCCTCTTCCAAACAAGATAGCAGAACTCAGCCCTCTGCATTCCAAATCCACAAGACTTATGAAATGCCCATCACTCAGCGAAGCAGACTTCATGCTTCCTCCTGCGTATTGTCCTGGGGGGAGACGGGGAGCCAACCCCCAGGAGCCCAAAAGGGTGTCCTCCAGGCTTGCTTTTTATGTAGACTGTAGGAGCTTCCTATGCAACAACCGGCTAAGAAGCCGCCGCATGGTGACTCCCAGTAATGACCTAAACAGCCTCAAAACGGCAAACTCCAGCCTAGGGGAGAAGCACCCCAATCACCCTGCAGAGTGCAGCAGGGTCACAGCGCCCCAGCATTGCCTGGATCCCACTGCAATCCCCAGATCTGAGTGCGGGGTCCACAGCCAGACCTCTCCGCCCTGGGCACAGGAGGATCTGGAGCAAGGCGGGGTCGGGCTGGGTCCCCTCTTGCTTCACTGCTTGGGTTTCAGGCAGGTTTTCCTCGCTCCTGAGGCTGCTTTAAAGCCCTGGTCGCCCTGTTCCCCACTGACCCTTGCTTTTGAAGTTCGGGAGCATCTGGAAGTACAACCCGCTCTAGGCATGCTCAAAGCCCCAGGCCTCTCTGCTGCAGGCTGGGTAGACAGCAGGAACCCCAGGCCAGCATGCGACCCCCACCCCCATATCCCCTACTGCAGTCAGAGCTGTGACCAGCCCACCCTAGCCCAAGATCAGAATTCACATTTGCAAGCGGAGGCTGCTGGAACTCAGTGGTTGATAAACAGGTCACCCTTCATAAACTTTAACCTCAGAGTGTTTGTGTATGAAGCAACGCTGCCAACAGTAGTGACCTAAATTCTGGAAATGCCTTTCAGGGGTGGGGCTGAATGAACAAGGGAGCTGCGTGCCGGGCCTGCACAGCCTGCGCGCATGACTAAGGGACAGCTCCCATTCAGGCCCAGGCTCCTTTGACTGTGGGGCTGGCACGTTGCCTTTCACCCCATGAACTGCCTGTGAGTGTGAGGATGGCAGCAAGGGACCTGCCCTTGTTCCTGAAGACACCCTGGCCCTCTGTGGCCCTTATGCAATGGCCCAAGTCCTCATACAACCCATGTCCCTGACAGGTTACGGTGCCAGCAATGCCACCTGGCCACCTTCAGTTTCCAACTGGTTCTCGGACTGTACAAGCTTCCTGGTCCTTGAAATCAGACAGACTGTATCCCTTTTACCTGGCTATTCACTTGGTGTCTGGTGTATTGAATTTGGGGAAAATAATCTCTGCTTGGGAAGATGGTTTTCAAAGAGTAAGAAGGCTTAAGAAGGCCTGGCCATGCCCAGATATCGGAGCAGCTGAGGTGCCCCATCTCCTGCGCCTGCCTTCCCAACTCAGGACTGAGGGGCTCACATGGCCGTGACTTCCCTAATTCATCACCCATGTGACTGTGAAGCTTTCTGTGAGGCTCTTCATTCTTCAGCCCAGTCTTTGTGTGTGTGTGTGTGTGTGTGTGTGTTTTTCTTTTCTGAGATGGAGTTTCTCTCTGTCATGCAGGCTGGAGCGCAGTGGCGCCATCTCACCTCACTGCAACCTCTGCCTCCCGGGTTCAAGCAATTCTGCCTCAGCCTCCCTAGTAGCTGAAACTACAGGCGCCCTCCACCACGCCTGGCTAATTTTTGTATTTTTACTAGAAACAGGGTTTCGCCATGTTGGCCAGGCTTGTCTCGAACTCCTGACCTCAGGTGATCCACCTGCCTCGGCCTCCCGAAGTGCTGGAATTACAGGCGTGAGCCACCGTGCCTGGCCCTTCCGTCCAATCTTAAAAGCCACAGGAACTGAATTTAAAAACATCTATCATGTAAAACAGTTGGTGGCAGTGGGGAGATGCCAGATATGACAGTCTCATTCGTTCATTCATGCATTCAGCCAATCTTTGCGTCCCTTCCATATGCCGACACTGAGCAGTGCTAGATGGTGGCTCCTTCCTCCCTACGGCCACCTAACAGGTGGGGCCGTCCCAGCAGCTTACACATGGAACAGGGAGGCTTCACTTCTCTCCTCGGGTCCTCTGGGGGCTGCTGCGGGTGCCCTGCCCTGGCGGCCGGGCTGCACCCTCCAGTGTGTCCTGCCCTCTTGCTTCCCTTCTTTCCTTGCCACCCACGGAGTCACTTCCTGAACGAAACTGGCCCCCTTCTCCCCATAGCTCCTCCTGATCTTTAGGTAGGCTTCAGGGGCATAGTAATAGGGACGAGGCCACTTAGAGGGGTGACAAGGAAAGGCAGCTGAAGGCTGGGCCATTTGAGGGCAGCCTTGGCAGGAAGAGGGAGTGGGGGCAAAGGGCAGTTTCCAAGAGGAAAGGGAGGTGGGGGGGTGAGTCTGGGCCTGAGAAGGGCCCCCAAGGCAGTGGGTGGGGAAGGTCCTTGATATCTGGTGCCTGTGACCTCGGCCTTGGGGACCCAGCTCCAGGCAGGTCCTTTGGTGGCCTCTGTCTCCCTTCCCCCACTTAGGAGCTGGTTCTAGAAACTGGAATTGCCTGTAGGAGTTTCCAGCGCCCCGACCTGCAGGACTGCCACGCACAACACGGCTACACAAGCTCCCGGGGTTGCCCGATCAGCTCCTTGGCAGGCCTTTGAAGCCGTGGTTGTTGCTAGAAAGGCAAGGAGGCTTCCGTGGAGAGTCCAGGGGCCTGGCTCCGACCCAGTATCTGGGAAGCACTGCGTTGCCCAGGCCTGCCTCTGCCTCCACCCCGACCCCAGCTCAGGGGGCAGCAGGGACCAGGTGGTATTTCGCCTTACACATTTACAGCTGCAGCTCCATCGTGACACAGGTACCCTACAAACTGTTGGCCCCCTCCTGCCCTGTCACAAATTATCACAATTCTGCCAATATTCCTCAGTGGCACTGCTGACATTTTTGTCTCTGTTTTATTGGGTGTGCCAGCTGTCAAGGAACTGAGGTCTCCTTGCCTTGGGAGGCCCCACACTTTGTCTAGTAACCTTGCTATCATTTCGATTATCTTTTGTAAATTTCTCTAGAAATAACTACTTTCAGTGCCGGTTTAGGCCAGGTTTTTGTTTTTTTTTTTGTTTTTGTTTTTGTTTTTTTGAGATGGAGTCTTGCTCTGTCGCCCAGGCTGGAGTGCTGTCGCCCAGGCTGGAGTGCAGTGGCGCGATCTCTGCTCATTGCAAGCTCCGCCTCCCGGGTTCACGCCATTCTCCTGCCTCAGTCTCCGGAGTAGCTGGGACTACAGGCGCCCGCCACCATGCCCGGCTAATTTTTGTATTTTTAGTAGAGACGGGGTTCACCTTGTTAGCCAGGATGGTCTCAATCTCCTGACCTCGTGATCCTTGGCCTCCCAAAGTGCTGGGATTACAGGGGTGAGCCACCGTGCCCGACTAGGCTGGGTTTTTAAAATCACTCAAGTTTTCCTTTTAAACCAGATTTTTGTTTTTTTGTCAGCTCAATCATCCACCTCATACAGTTTTGATCCCAAGGGACTGCTTGCTGTTTCTAAAAACCAGATCCTCCTGGTTTCAAAGGTACATTTTGCTGTCAGTGTACCCTGCTGGATTTTCAATTCCACATTGAAGCCTGCAGCTTCCAGAGGAGCCCAGAGCCAGTGGAAAGCACAGAGCACACTGACTCAGGAAGTACAGACAGCTGGGAGGTTCCAAAGGCTGAGGGGCCATTACACTAGATCATTCTGTGTGGCCACAGAGAGGACAGGTAGAGAGATTTCGACTCAGTCCGGGGAACTGTAGAGCACTCAGACTGCCTGGGATGGAAAGAGCCGTTCCTAAGAACATGGTCTCCCCTCCCCATGACGCGCAGAGGCAGGGCCAGGGCTAGGGAGAGAGACTGTCCTCAAGGACCGGCCTCAGCAACGCAAATGTCAGGTGCTTGGCGTGTGCCTGGCTTACACCTTCCTCATCCCCATCATCACCGCAGGGAATTCCTACATGGCCCTGGGAACTCGGGAGCAAGACCAGACGCAGGAGTGAAAGCCCATGGGCCTGGCAGCCCCAGCCAGGGACAACCAGCCAGTCCTGACTGGCGACAACCAACCAGCTCCAGCCAGGGACAACCAACCAGCCCTGACCAGGGACAACCAACCAGCCCTGACCAGGGACAACAAACCAGCCCCAAACAGGGACAACCAACCAGCTCCAGCCAGGGACAACCAATCAACCCCGACCAGGCACAACCAACCCGCTCCAGCCAGGGACAACCAACCAGCCCCAGCCAGAGACAACTCACCAGCCCCAGGAGGGACAACCAACCAGCTCCAGCCAGGGACAACCAACCAGCTCCAGCCAGGGACAACCAACAAGCCCTGACCAGGGACAACCAACCAGCCCTGACCAGGGACGGAACAACCAACCAGCTCCGACCAGGCACACCCAACCAGCCCTGACCAGGGACAACCAACCAGCCCTGACCAGGCACAACCAACCAGCCCCGACCAGGCACAACCAACCAGCCCCGACCAGGCACAACCAACCAGCCCCAGCCAGGGACAAACAACCAGCCCCGACCAGGGACAACCAACCAGCCCCGACCAGGGACAACCAACCAGCCCCGACCAGGGACAACCAACTAGCCCTGAGCAGGGACCGAACAACCAACCAGCCCCGACCAGGCACAACCAACCAGCCCCGACCAGGGACAACCAACCAGCCCCGACAAGGGACAACCAACTAGCCCCAGCCAGGTACAAACAATCAGCCCCAGCCAGGCACAACCAGCCAGCCCCGACCACAGACAACCTATCAGCTCCAACCAGGCACAACCAGCCAGCCCCAGCCAGGCACAACCAACCAGCTCCAACCAGGCACAACCAACCAGCCCTGACCAGGAACAACCAACCAGCTCCTACCAGAAACAACCAGCCCCCACCAGGAACAGGCAGCCCCGACCAGGGAGAGGCAGCCCCAGCCACCCTGCATCGTGGGCCCCTCCCTGATAGTCAGTGGGGACTTCAGCAGAGCAGCCAGTTTTACGTATAAATTTCACCACCCCCTGAGAAACAGGGCTTTCCCACTTTCTACAAATATGTGTCCAGAGTTTATTTTTCTTCCCCGAGGCTGGGCAGGCCTGGCTTCCTGCTCAGAGACAACACGGGAGGAAGCCGCCCACCCCAGCGCAGGTTTTTCCACGTTCCCTCCCTTGCCCGTGGAAATACGGAGCTCTTCGCAGAGCCAGGCCCTCCCTGTGCCTCCCTCCCAGCCTCTTCTGATGAGACAGCACTGAACCTGGACCAGCCCGGCCCAGTCCAGGGACACTGGAAACTATGAGGCCCAGAGTCCCACGGCCACCTGGGCTGGCACAGAGGAGGTGATTGTGTGAACTGCAGCGCCACAGGCCCCAGCCTGGCCATCACGCACAGCACCCTCAGGCCAAGGCTGCCCTGACCTCCCGCTGGGGCCTGCGCAGAGGTGGGATGACCCAGGCCTAAGTCCCAGCCGCCGAGGGAGAGGAGGACCGCCCAGTAGGGAGCGCCACCTGCCCCTCCTCTGCCTTCTAGGTAGGGGCCTGGGGCCCTGCCCACGAGCCGCTCTGCCTCCGCCCATCCTGCCAAGCCAGTGCTCCTTCCAGAACGGAAAGGCAACCCGCCACACTGCCTCCCAGATATGGCCTCCTCTGGCCTTTCTCTGGGAAGCCTCCACCAATTCCCCACAGCTTCCCTTGGCCGGGCCCCACAGCTCTCCTAGAACTCTGATGGCACTAGAAACTGTTCCTGTACCACCCGGTGCCGCTAGGAGAGGGCAGCGTCCAACAGGAAGACCTGGGCCCGAGACACAACGCCGACTCTCCCCTGCTGTGTGCACTGAAGTTACCAAGGAGAGGGAGACTGAAAGACTAAGTGATTAGGTCGTGGATGTGTAGGACTCGTGAAAACTGCCAGCCTAGCACAGTCTAGGGCAGGGCTTCTGAGTGCAGGCCCCTGATGGCAGAGCATGCACCGGGGAATCTGAGAGGCACACACATGATCAGACTCGCCTCACGCCTGATGGATCAGAAACTCTGGGGTGGGCTCCAGGAAGGTGTGATCTCAATGCACTGGGCTGGCAAACAGAACCCAGCGCGCTCCCCCGAGGTGCACAGGAGGAGATGCACGCTCAGGCGCAGCACAGGCATGGGGCTGTGACCTCCTGGAGGTGGGGCCCCACTGTGCTAATCTCTGCACCCCCAGTACCTAGCATGGCATCTGGCACATAGTAGGTGTTTAATAAGTAGCTCTTAAAGTGAATCACTGTGTGAACACTGATAAACAAGAGTGGCTCAGAAGCGTCACCGTGAGCATATGTCACAATTTAGGAAGCAGAGAGTCCAGCTCAGATGACAGAATAGTAGGCCCAAGCCACTTTCTTGGTCCTGAGCATGACCACCGACGACCGGAGCAGCTTCAACCTGACACGGAGCCAGGCCACACTTCCTGCACCTCCGTACGTGACCTCCGGGTGTCCCTCGAGTAGCTCACAAGGCCACACCTGGCTGTGGCCAGCTATTCCTTTGTTCGTCCTTCTAGCATGTGGCGCCTGTTATGTGTGTCCAAGGCCATCCTGAGGATACAGTGGTGAGCAGGACAGACAGCCCCACACTCCCCAGGCTCGCAGTCCAGGGGAGGGGAGAGGACAGACAAGTGATCAAGCTACCTGCAAGAAGGTGTGGCAGCACTGTGACAGGGGAGACGTGGGGCTGGGAGACCAAGTACGGGGCAGTGGTCAGGGAAGGCTGGAAGGACGCCAAGGGGAATATTCTAGGCAGAGAGCACAGCCTGTGCAGAGACCTAGAGCCAGTCAGGAGTCAGAGGCGTGAGGAAGGTGGGGGCTACCCACGTGGCGCTGTCAGTCTCTAAAGTCCCTGTATAGAGCACTGTGCCATGAGTGGGGGCACCCTGCCCACACAGGCCTCACAGTCTAGCAGTCATTCAACAAATACTCGGGCACCATCCTAGATGCTGGGGATACAGTATAACAAAAGCAAAACACGAAGCAAGACTCTTCTCTTGAGGAGCTTGCCTACTCTCGTGGTAAAGACAGAAAGCAAAGCCAAGAATAGTGCTTCAGGGTCAAGCAGAAGTCATGGATGGAATCCCTGCCCAGGAGAGACTGGGTGGGGCCAAGGAAGTTGAAGGCCAGTGTCATCACCAGGTAATCAGGAGTTAGGAATGTGCCAGCTCACCCAAGTCACAGCCCTGATCTGGCCTCTGTGACTCCAACCTGATGGTTTCAGCCTCCCCGTTTGCAATCAAAGGGAAGGTAGCCAGGCTTTCAGGAGAGGAAGGAACAAGGCAGAGAAGACTATGCGAATTAAGCTTATTATACTGTACCACCATATTGTACCATGAATATTATGCATATTGTACTGATCTATGACATTATACTGGACATGTATTAGACTTATACTGTACTATAATTATGCTACACATATTGCCCTGTACTAGGCTACACTATATGTACTGTACTACAGTAAACAGCCTCATGCCCGACTCGTAATCCACATTTAAACGTTCGTGCAACTAAGCTGAGGTTTTTTTCAGCTGAGAATAAGGAGCCGTTTGTCCTGCTTGGCATTTGGGACCCGAGAGAGTGTCATGTCCAAAGCTGGTTTTCCATCCGCCCAAGTACCAGATCTGGTCTAGATAAAGCAAAGGAAGTGGTAAATGACAAGGCCAGGGAGGCTGTTTGTGGGTGAAACCTCACCGAGGCTAAGGCTAATAACACTTAATGGGAGACTGAATCCCAGACGTCAGCCGCCCCGGCTGATCCTCTAATGACAGGCTGTGTGGCGAGTGTGCTTCCTGGGTTGGCTGCCATTGGAGGCATCACCATGCGTGGGTCCTAACCAGGTATTGTCTGAAATAGGGCTTAGAACAAAACCCACCTCACATTCACACTTTCTTCTGTATTTCCAAAAAAGTGTTTAGGAGGGAGGAAATGGGCAGAGGTAGGAGGTAGAATGACAATGAAGATGGGCTCTGGGTTGGGCCTGCCACTTAACGGAAGGTACGGCCCGGCCCAAGTCACCTCCATTGCTGGGCTTCAGCGTCATTGGATTAGTCAGGATGGATGAGGCTATGCAGTGGTAACAAACAGACCCTGTGATCTCAGCGGCTTAACAAAATAAGCTTATTTTACTCACACTTTGTGGGCCAGGCATCCTTTTTCTACCCTGTAGCTACACTAGCAGGAACACGTGGCCTCTGATGCTCCCAGAGGCTGTAGGGAAGGAGAGGGATTTGGAGGGTCTCATGGATTCACTGGAGGGCAGGCCTGAAGCTGGCTGGCATCACCCTTCCACGTCTCACTCACCACACAGCCACAGCCACTGCAGAGGGACCAGGAAATGCAGTCACCTCTCCAGGAAGCAGCAATGCCATGGGGAGAGCACGATCCAGTCCTCACCCCCTCAGCTGTTCAACCCCTTCATTCGCTCAGTTTGGGGAGGGCACCTAGTATGTGCCAGGCATCATGTTAAGTGCTGGAGCCACAAAGGTCACTGTGTCCTCAATAAGTTCAGTAAGTGAGACACACGAAGCGGTGTCACATTAGAATTCTGGACAGGTTTCTGTGGGAGCAGCAAAGAGAGGCACCAACCCAGCCCAGGCAAAGGAGGTGGGCAGCAGTGTGCTGGTAACTGTTCAGCAGCTGGCTCTCCAAAGAAACATGTTTACTTATAAATTTATAAATTCTAATGATACAAAGGATACAGAGCACACAATTTACAAATAATGTTAAAAATTCAATTTCACATAACAGATTGATGCTCACAGAATTTTTATTGATTTTTTGCCAAACATATTCAGCCATGATTTGACAGAGTTGCATCTTACTCTGCTCTTTCCCCAACAAGTAACCTTAAATCCAGTAAGTGAACAGCTGGTAAACCATTTCTCACCTTCCTGTTAATTATTTTTATTAAACTGAAGACTCTTTTTGGCTTTGGCAGCATGTATTTCTGAACTTGTTAATGACATGAACAACTTCTTTGCTGAATCACAGAATAATTTCCAAATGCGAGAAAAATATTTCCTCCACTTTTTGTGTTATTCACAATGGAATGGCTACAGGTACAATGCACTGTTAAGTTTAATCTGTATTACTAACATCACTGTGAAGAATAATCAACAGAACCATAAGTCAAGCCTTGATTTACAGCATTTGCCAATTGCAATGGTGTAAATATTCACACCGTGGCCCATTTCCAGCTATCAACCTGACGGTGTCGAGCTCAGAGTCAGGAAGAGACACGCACGAGCAAACCATCACGTGGTGGCCTCCCTCCACACAGACACAGTGGACATACATAACATCCAAATTATAGAAAATAGTGATATGGGCCAGGCACGGTGGCTCATGCCTATAATCCCAACACTTCGGGAGGCCAGGGCAGGCAGATCACTTGAGGTCAGGAGTTTAAGACCAGCCTGACCAACATGGTGAAACCCCGTCTCTGCTAAAAATACAGAAAAATTAGCCGGGCATGGTGGTGCACGCCTGTAATCCCAGCTATTCAGGAAGCTGAGGTAGGAGAATCGTTTGAACTCAGGAGGTGGAGGTTGCAGTGAGCCGAGATCATGCCATTGCACTCCAGCCTGGGAAACAGAGACTCCATCTCAAAAAAAAAAAAAAAAAAAAAAAAGTGGTATGATTAGGAAGTCATGAATTTAGAGTACTTATTACCTTTGTCTTATTATTTGATTGTACATTTGCCTAATTTTAAAATGATGGCTGTGATTAACACCTGGCTTGTAAAATTCCTGAAATTGTACCCATCAGTCTGGCCAGCCTGGACAAGCCAGCTCTAGCAGTCAGAGAAGACAGGGCCCGGCCTATGCTGAGTGACTGGATGCCTTGGAGTTAGTGATTCCGGAAGGAAAAGGCAGGCCAGTGCAGAGCCAGCAGCCAGGGCTAAGCCAAAGGGCAAAATGTTCCCGGCTTGAACAGGGTGACCACACAGCCTACCCACAGACTGGCCAGGGCAGTCCTGGTTATGCTTGGTGTCCCCCAGCCCCTTTTAGTTTCAAAAGCATCTGTTTAGGATGGACATTACATACTTTCCCTGTGACACTTGCAGAGCTATGGCCCTCTGGGTCCCTAGAACTGGCTGAAGAGGGAGTGGGCCGGGCTGGTGAGCAGAGGCCAGGTTGGGAGGGCAGGGGTGAGTGCAGATGGAGGAGGCCAGGCTGGGAGGGCAGGGGTGAGTGCAGATGGAAGAGGCCGAGCTGGGAGGGGATGGGTGGGTGGAGATGGAAGAGGCGGAGCTGGGAGGAGATGGGTGGGTAGAGATGGAAGAGGCGGAGCTGAGAGGGGATGGGTGGGTAGAGATGGAAGAGGCCGAGCTGAGAGGGGATGGGTGGGTGGAGATGGAAGAGGCCGAGCTGAGAGGGGATGGGTGGGTAGAGATGGAAGAGGCCGAGCTGAGAGGGGATGGGTGGGTGGAGATGGAAGAGGCCGAGCTGAGAGGGGATGGGTGGGTGGAGATGGAAGAGGCCGAGCTGAGAGGGGATGGGTGGGTGCAGATGGACGAGGCCGAGCTGAAGGCAGGGGTGGGTGGAGATGGAGGAAGCCAAGGGAAGGAAAAGGTGGTGACAAGAGTGGCAGGCACTTTCTGGGAAGCTGGAATAAGGGAAGGCACTGGGAGCCATCCGCTGGTGCCAGGGAGAGTTCCATTACAAGGAGCAGCTGAACTCAGCTGTCTCCAGAGCCAGGGGCTAGGTGGGCAGCTTCTCCAGAGGAACAAGGGTGCCCCCCGTCCCTGATCAACTAGGGTGTCTGTCATTCATTGTTGGCCTTACAAAGCTGGTGAGGGAACAAGAAAAAAAATGCACACGAAGTTCAAGTGCTTCACACCTAGCTTTCCAACACATAGGAGGAGACGGCAGGAGGGGTCAGAATCCCCGAACTGTGGGAGGCCTGGGACTCCTAGGTCTCAGCTGGAGCCCCCCAGATAAAAGCCCCCTCGGAGACTGGCAGGGGCGGGGTGGGGTTGTTCCAGCAGCCAGTTCCCATCACTCTCCCACTCAGCCAGCAGCCTCCTGAAGGCCCAAATCCCGAATCTTTCCTGGCCTTCTTTTCCCCCCAGTGGGGACAGGGCATAGCTGGCCCGTCTCCTGGAGGACAGAGCCAGGAGCAGGCCAGCAGGCCCTTCACTTCCTCTGCTGCCAACGTGCGAACACACCCGTGTGTGGTGTCCAAAGCCAAGCCACTCTCTGGCAAACCAGCCAAAGACAGAAGATCCCCAAACCCAAATGTTCTGAAATCTTTTCCAGGCTTTCAAACCTTGGCTAAACAAGGCAAAGGAGCTAGGGAACAGTCTTTGGCCTTGAAAGATGAGAAGGTCGAGGGCTCTCCAGGACACAGGGCAGATGCCTTTGATGGCAGCATTTTATAAAGAGAGAAACAGAACACAGCTAAGTGCTGCTCTGAAGACCCTCTCTTTGAATATCAGTATTAGGTTATTTCATCTCCACATGGAGCCTGTGGAGTAGGTTCTACTGCAGGAAACTGAGGCACGGAGCAGGTAGATACCATCCAGATCCCATAGCTGATGAATGTCAGAGCTGCGACATGGACCCAGGCTGCCTCGCTCTCAGCTGCGACGCTGAGCCGACCCCTGCACAGGGGCCTTGTTCTCGGTCCTTTCCTGCCACTGTGGGAACTGGGAGCCTGGGAGTTACATCGTATGTGACATCAGAGCCAGAGCTGGCACAGGGTCACAGGGCACAGGGTCACAGGGCCTGCAGCTTAGATGCTTTGAGGGACACTTCTTAAGGTCAAGACTATAAAACTGTGACTGTGAAGAGCTCAGGCTTCAAAGCAGCCCAGGCCAGCCAGGGAGGCTGAGCTGGAGGCTTCTCTAGCCTCGTGGGAGATGGGCCCTGCCCCAGGGGACCTCCCCGATGATCTATGCCAGGGCTTCCCGGAGCCCCTTCTCCTCCAGGCAAGAGAAGCCATGTCCCGAAAGCCCCGCAGGAGGGGTCTGAGGGGAAATCCAGAAGCAGCCCAGCCTCTCGTCACGCACCACTGAGGCCGACACCCGGGTGGGGCCCAGATGCCGAGTGATTCAGGGGAGGCCTTGGCAGCCTGCCTGCCCCCAGACACTCGAGTAACCAGGGCAAGATGTGGAAAACCCCCTGACCAGACCCGAAACCAGTGGGAGCGTTCAAGTTTAACCCACCCAGGGTCGGGAACGTGGCCTGAAGCCAAAGTAGAAGCCCTGGAGGAGAAAAGGGCCCATTTCTTTCCTGGGCACCGCCAATGGCTTTTCCTTTTTAAGAGGCACAGACAGGGTCACAGATGGCCCCAGGCAGATGCCTTGGTATGGAGGGACCAGTCCACTGCAGGCCCTATCTTGGGTTTCGAAGATTCAAACACCACCAGCACCACCGACTAGAATGTTCTGTGCCATGGAAGGCCCTCATTGGCCACATCCCTCTTGCTTCCTGAACAACGGCTGGGCAAGGCTGAGGTCTGCGGGGCAGGATGGCCTCTGCAGAGGAAGGCATCAGGGCCCAAGTGAGGGAAGCCTGGGTCCTGGGTCCAGAGGCCCGGTGTGGCATGGCAAAGGCCAGGTGGGGTGAGGAAAGCTACTGGGCAGCAGGGGGCCTGGTGCTGAGTGTCAGAGCCGGGGGCAATGGGGGGAAGGCAGCGTCCCCAGGGAGGAGGCAGCGCCCCCAGGGAGGAGGCAGCATGGGATGAGGCCAGTCACAGACGAAGGGAGGGACCCAGCATGTCCAGAAGAACAAATGAGCTCACCAGGGCGCAGCTGCTCACACCTGTCATCCCAGCACTTTGGAAGGCTGAGACGGGAGGACCGCTTGAACTCAGAAGTTCCAGACCAGTCTGGCCAAAATGGAGAAACCCTGTCTTCACAAAACAAACAAACAAACAACAAAAAAATGAAAAATTAGCTGGGCATGGTGGCACACACCTGCAGTCCCAGCTACAGGTGGGACACTGATAGATACAGAAGCAAGCATGGATGTAAAGCACGTACATGCATATGTATCCCCAGCTCAGTCCACTCAGGGCTGAGGGCTGGGATACCCAATATCCACGAGCACAAACGGTACCCAGACACTGACTTCTGAATTTCCATCCCCCACTAAAAAAGAATCAGGGAGGCCAGGCGTGGTGGCTCACACCCATCCTCCCAGCACTTTGGGAGGCCGAGACAGGAGGATCACTTGAACCTAGGAGTTTGAGACCAGCAGGGCAATACAGTGAGACTCCATCTCTATAAAAGATGAAGAAATTAGTTGGGCAGGGTGGTGTACACCTACGGTCCCAGCTACTTGGGAGACTGAGGTAGAAGGATTGCTTGAGCCCGGGATTGTACCACTGCACTCCGGCCTGAGCAACAGAACAAGACCCTGTATCTGAATAAATATATAATTAAATTAAAAATTAAAATAAAAAGAATCACAGCTCTTCAGAGAGATGGTTGACTCCAGAGCCTGGGCAGGGAAATGACAAGATGAGCCTGGAACATATATTTGGGCCAGAAGGTAAGGAAGTGCTCAAAGAACGATGGAGACAGGTCAAAATAACACAGAAGTCAGCTTGAAGGGACTCCCGCTGACCAAATCTGGCCTAATTTGAGCATAAAGTAAATAATATAATAAATAGATTGTAACCCATTACAACCCATTGAATAAAATGGGAAACCACATAAGGCCACACCTGTATTAATTGTATCCATTAGTTATATTATTAATTATAATTGAGATATTTATATAGTTCCAGAGTACCTCTTCTTAAAACATTTAATTACAAAGGAAAAATAACATCACCTGGAGAAGCCTGGCCAATTCTACCTTCTTCGAGTGATGGAAGTGACACCAGGGAAGGGGCAGATGAAAATGGTGTGCCTGGCTGGGCGTGGTGGCTCACGCCTGTAATCCCAGCACTTTGGGAGGCCAAGGCAGGCGGATCACAAGGTCAGGAGATCGAGACCATCCTGGCTAACATGGTGAAAACCCATCTCTGCTAAAAATATAAAAAATTAGCTGGGTGTGGTAGCAGGTGCCTGTAGTCCCAGCTACTCAGGAGGCTGAGGCAGGAGAATGGCGTGATCCCGGGAGGTAGAGCTTGCAGTGAGCGGAGATCGCACCACTGCACTCCAGCCTGGGCGACAGAGTGAGATTCTGTCTCAAAAAACACACACAAAAAATGGTGTGCCCGTGGAGAGGACCCCATGACAACACAACACTACTTCCTGCTGTTCCTACCAGAGGTGAAACCTGCCTCCAAGCACGAGAAGACCTCAGAAAACCCCACTTGAGGGGCATCCCATAAACACCTGAATCTCAAAGCTTCAGACTAAGATCATGCAAGTCGGCTGGGCGTGGTGGCTCACACCTGTAATCTCAGCACTTTGGGTGGCCAAGGCGGGCATATCACCTGGGGTCAGGAGTTCAAGACCAGCCTGACCAACATGGTAAAACCCCGTCACTACTAAAAAAGAAAAAGTATTAGCTGGGCGTGGTGGTGTGCACCTATAATCCCAGCTACTTGGGAGGCTGAGGCAGGTGAATTGCTTGAACCCAGGAGGCGGCAGTTGCAGTGAGCTGAGATTGCGCCACTGCACTCCAGCCTGGGCAACAGAGTGAGACTATTTCAAAAAATAAAATAAAATAAATAAAGATTGCACAAGTTAGTAACAAACTGGGGCCCTCTCCCAGACTGAAGGAGTCTAAGGAGATACATCTATGTGAAACTACAGGTGATGCGTTTCTACACTGGATTCTGTTGTGAAAAAGGACATCATGGAGAAGACTGGGGAACCTTGAATAGGCTATGAGAGTGGCTGGTGGTGATCGAGCAACACTAATTTCCTACCAAAGATAAAACCTGCCTCCAAGCACGAGACCCCAGGTTTTGTCTCTGGAGGAACAGCAGGAAGTGCTGTTACGTCCTCATGGTGTCCTCTCCAGGCGCCCACCATTTCTGTCGGTTTTTTATACTGGTATTGTAGTTCTACAGAATGTCCTTCTTTGTAGGAAATACACACCAAAATAGTTGGAGATGCTGGGGCACCATTTCAGCAATTATTTCCCAAATGATTCTGGTGGGGGGATGGGGTGCAGAATGTTTACTGTACTTGTAACTTCTCTGTAAAAGTCTGAGGTTGTTTCTAAATCCCTCTATCAGTCTTCCATCAAATTCCAGGTCTCAGAGATGGCAGGGAACTCAGGAGAACCTTCAGGCATGGAAGGGTTTTATTATTCCCATTTTACAGGAGAGATTGTTGAGACACAGTGGGTAATGCAGTAGGCCTTTGGCCACCTATTTAATAAGTGGGCTGAAGGTGGAGATGGCAGGAGCCTGGCATAGAGCGGCCCAAGTTCCCAGCCAGCCTTCTGCAGGTGCACCTCCCACCAGGACCTGGTGCTTCTGCAGTGGAGGCCATTCCCAATTAGGTCATTTCCACCTTAAAAGATCAATGCTGGCCGGGTGCGGTGGCTCACGCCTGTAATCCCAGCATTCTGGGAAGCCGAGGTGGGTAGATCACCTGAGGTCAGGAGATCAAGACCCGGCTGGCCAACATGGCGAAACCCCATCTCTACTAAAAATACAAAAATTAGCCAGGTATGGTGGTGCGTGCCTGTAATCCCAGCTACTCAGGAGGCTGAGGCAGGAGAATCGCTTGAACCCAGGAGGTGGAGGTTGCAGTGAGCTGAGACTGCGCCACTGCACTCCAGCCTAGGCGACGGTGAGACTCCATCTTAAAAAAAAAAAAAAATCAATGCCATCCCAAGCAGAAAAGAAAAAGCCATAGAGTATTAGGCATGGACTTGATGATCAGAGCTAAACTGGGATAGCTGGGCCCATCTATCTATTTATAAAGTCCTCTCAACAACAAAATCCTCCCTCGCAGCCCCTTCAGGTACCCTGAGGGGAGAGGGCAGGGCAGGTGGAGAAGGAATTCATCAAGTAAAACTTTCCCCAGGAGAGAGGTAGGGGCCATTCGTGAAAGGACAATGAGACAAAGATATTTATTTTAAGGGAGCGAGTCCCTTGCTCAAAGATGCGAAGATGCAGAAATGGAAGGTAAGAGCAGGAGTTCTGTGGGAAGCAGAAGCGGCACTTGTTCTTGCCCTTAAAGGTCGTGAGAGATGCTCTCGTCTGTGCCTGGACAAGTAGGCCCCAGGGGACCACCTACCCTCCCCACAGCACAGCCCAGACCCAGCTGGACAACAGAAGGCCAAGCTCATCACTGAGGTGAGAAGTCAGGAAGGGTGCCAAGCTCCCCTGGTGGGTGTGTGGCAGCACCAGGGCCTAAGCGTAGGCAGGCTGGCTCCAGGACTGTGTCAGGCTGTCCCTTGGGACACAGAACTGATGCCATCTGGGTGGTTTTCCACTTAAGTCAAACTACGAGACATCAAATCAAAGATGGTCGCCGTCTCTGAGAAATGCAATCCACCATAGACTTGAATTTAAAAGTTTCCCCAGGTTCCTGGGGTGACAGAGCATTATGGAGGGACAATGACGTTTGTTTTTACAAACAGAGAAACTGGTCTACAGCCACTCCGTGACTGGTGAACAGAATCTTTTCCCCCTGCCCTCAGTTTGAATGAAATAACCAGGGTCAGTTCCCCTTTCTAGAAGCACTGGCCAGTCCGCCCACCAAGTGGCCACAGGCCCGCAAGGAAGGAGGCTGCCTGGAATAGCTTTCTTTTCTGTTTTCCTACAAACTGACCCCAATATGTAGTCCCTGTGACCCCAGGCAGATGAGACCCAGCATATGCTGAGCCCTGTAGCGTGGTGTTCCATAGGCATGAGGAATTACAAAACCACTGCACCCAGAGCGAGGGCATCGGGAGCCCCGCTGAGCTCTGAGCTGCGGTAGTAGCATCGCAGCTTACCTCTGTAATAAACAGACCCAAACAACACTGGCTTAGACAGAATCGGTGCCACTGCCATGCCGGAGTTCCAGTGGTGGACAGAGCCAGTATGGCAGCTCCACAACCATCAGGGATTCAGAGCCCCTCAACTTACAGTCTTGGGCTGCATAACGATGGCACACTGGCGACAGACTGCATATACAACGGAAGTCCCGTAACATTAGAATACCGTATTTTTACTGTACCTTTTCTATGTCTAGATACACAAACACCACTGTTACAACTACCTCCAGTATTCAGTGCGGTCACACAACGCCCAGGTTTGCAGCCCAGGAGCAATACTCCGCCATGTAGCCTGGGTGTGTAGCAGGCTCCCCGGTCTAAGTGTGTAAATACATTCTATGATGTCCTCACAGCGAGAAGATCGCCTGGTGACTCATTTCTCAGAATGCATCTTCGTCATTAAGTGAGGTGTGACCTTATTTTCTCTGCCATCCTCAACACGTACTTCCATGTTGGGACCCAAAATAACCGTTCCAGTTCCTGCCATCATATTCAGAGTCAAGCCAAAACGAAGGCAGCCTAGAAAAAAGTGAGGACACACCACTTCCTTTCAAACACACCACCCAGAATTCATACACATCTTGTTCATTCCCACTCCATGAGCCAGGATTTCTGTCACATGGTCACGGTCAGCGGAAGGTGAGGCTGAGAACCTAGCAACTCTAGTACTTCGTGAAAGGGTGAGAATGCACAGTAGGGCATGAGTTAGCAGATTCGAGCACAAGAGTTGTGCATTTTGTTATTTATTTATTTATTTATTTATTTATTTATTTATTTTGAGACAGAGTCTCGCTCTGTCGCCCAGGCTGGAGTGCAGTGGCGCGATCTCGGCTCACTGCAAGCTCCGCCTCCTGGGTTCCCGCCATTCTCCTGCCTCCGCCTCCCCAGTGGCTGGGACTACAGGCACCAGCCACCAGGCCTGGCTAATTTTTTGTATTTTTAGTAGAGACGGGGTTTCACCATGTTAGCCAGGATGATTTTGATCTCCTGACCTCGTGATCCACCCGTCTTGGCCTCCCAAAGTGCTGGGATTACAGGCGTGAGCCACTGCACCTGGCTGAGTTGTGCATTTTAGCTGCTAGCATCAAGAACTTCCTTTTCTGCCGCCCTAGCACAGCCAGGTCTAAACTGGAGCCAATTTTCTTAGCTAAGAAGTGCACACTGGACCTGAGCCAGACTAGACCAGAGTGTCCCCTCAGCCTCTCAGGAATCTTTTTTTTTTTTTTTTAAAAAAAAAAAAAAAAAAAAAAGACAGTCTCACTCTGTTTCCTAGGCTGGAGTGCAGTGATGTGATCTCAGCTCACTGCAACCTTCACCTCCCAGGTTCAAGCAATTCTCCTGACTCAACCTCCTGAGTAGCTGGGATTACAGGCGCCCATCACCACACCTGGCTAGCTTTTGTAGTTTTAGTAGACAAGGGTTTTCATCATGTTGCACAGGCTGGTCTGGAACTCCTGACCTCAGATGATTCGCCCGCCTCGGCCTCCCAAACTGCTGGAATTACAGGCCTGAGCCGCTGCCGCCCCAGCCCAGAATCTACTATTCCACACTCTCTTGCCTGTTGGCTGGGTCCGTCCCTTCTGCTCAGAAGGATCAGGCCTCCCAGCCTCCTGCTCTGTCACTGGGGAGTCAAGCTCCTGGGCATCCACCTCTACACAGTGAGCCTCAGTCTGGCCAGCAAAGATGAGACAGGGGGGCAGGAACAGGCAGTGGGCCCCCAGGAGAACCAAGGCTCTCTTGGCCAAGGTGAATTTTCAACCTCATCAACCAGTACCAGCATCGCCTACAGATGTAGAGGTGAGGGCAGCCCGGGCTGCGGACCCAGCCTGAGCCAATGTTGCTGGCAGACAAAAGGCAAAAATGCCCCATGCCCACCAGCAGACCCAATGCGGGAGTCCCGAGAGACTGGGATATGGTCCTCCAGTAGCCAGGCTGCACGTGTCGCTGGCAGTGGCATCCCTGGGGCTCCTTTCAACCCAGCCGGCTTAAAGGAGCTCTAGGGCCCACAGGAGGGGCCATCTGGCCTGGGCATTCAGGCAGCTTCAGCAGGCGGCAGGGACGGGAAACTCAGCCCACGCGTCTAACAGCTCTGCAGGCTGGAAGGGGCCACGGGGCCTGGTGATAACATAAAGCTTCAGTGTCGGAGTTACTAGACTGGGTAGCTTGTGGCCGGCGAGTTACCTGATGCCTACACGTCCTGGTTTCCCATCTATGACACGGAGACGGTCATTCCTGTGTGGTGGATGGCAACACGTGGCGCGGAGGGAGCCCTTGCTATACCCGCCGCTGGCATAGCGCGTCTTTGTGCCTCAGTTTCGTCACGCAGACAGGCGAGCAGACCGTCCACCCGGCACGGCAGACGAGGAGGGCACCGGGCCCCGCCTGCCTCCTCCTTGTTTCTCCTCTGCAGTCCCAGGTCTCGGCTTAGCTGTCTCCTCCGGGAAGGCCCGTGCTGGCCCGCCTGCTCCCGGGAGGTCGCACTGGCCTTCGGTGCCGAGGTGGGTGCGCCATCTTCTTTGCGTGTCTTGTCCCTTCTGCTGCGTCCTGGCCGATGTCGTGACCCGCCGTGACGGGCAGGGGAGGCAGAGCCGAAAGGCCCAAGCAGGGTGCCGCACTCCGTGCTAACGGTAAAGTGGAGGGCCGGGTAAGCAGGAGGCCACCAGAGCAGCTGCCGCACGCGGTGCTGTCCTGCATGCGACTGAGGCCCACCGGAAGCAGGGAGCACTTCAGCTTAAGGGGAGGGAGGAGGCCCGCCGGAAGAAGGGGGAGGGGGCCCACCGGAAGTGGGGGGAGCTTGTCCTCCGGAAAGCGGGGGAGGAGGCCCGCTGGAAATGGGGGAAGCACGCGTGCTGGAAAGAGGGGGAGGAGGCCTGCCAGAAATAAGGGGAGCATGCCCACCGGAACGGAAGGAGGCGGCCCAGCAGAAATGGGGGAGCACGCCCACTGGAAAGGAGGGAGGAAGCCCAGCAGAAAGCGGGGCGAGGGGGGGCATACCCACCGGAAAGCGGAGCACGCCAGCCAGAAGGGGGAGGAGGCCCGCCAGAGAGCCGAGAGGACGCCGCCAAAACAGGGCAGTGTGGAGGAGCACACCCACCAGAAGTGGAGAGCATGTCCAGAAAGAAGGAGCACTTCAGGAAGCCACGGGACTTACAGGGGAAGAAGAATTCACAAGGATAACACGACAGTCACCCTATATAGCAATGGTCCAGTCACTGGTCACCTTCCAGAAACAGGGCCCCCATGACCAGCGAGAGGCGGGATGCCCAGCAAAGCCACAACGCGTCTCGCCCGCTCATTCCCCATCACCGCTCAGCTCACGGGCCAGGGGACAGTTAGGAACTGTGGGTTCTGAGGTCTCAGAGCAAGAGACAACCGCCTAAGAGCAAATAGAAGTCTCAGGAAACAGAAGCAGATTCTGTCAAAAGTCTGTTGAAGTGTCTTTGACACCACCAGACATTAAGGACCTTTGTGTTTTTATTTTTATGTATTTTCTTTTCAGATATTATTTTAGGTTCAGGGGTTAAATGTGTGGGCTTGTTGCATGGGAATTAGGTATACAGATAATTTTGTCACCCAGGTAAGAGCACAGTACCCGTAGTTTCTCTATCTTCTCCCTCCTCCCACCCTCCACCCTCAAGTAATCCTCAGGGTCTGTTGTTCCCTTCTTTGCATCCATCTGTACTCATCATTTAGCTACCACTTGTAAGTGAGAACGTGCAGTATTTGGTTTTTCCTTCCTGTGTTATTCACTTAGGATAATGGCCTCCACCTCCATCCACGTTGTTGCAAAAGACAGGATTTCACTCTTTTTATGGCTGCATAGTATTCCATGGTGTATATGTACTGTATGTTCTTTATCCAATCCACCATCCATGGGCATTTAAGTGGATTCCAAGTCCCTGCTATTGTGAATGGTGCTACGATTAAGGCAAGCGTGCATCTGTCTTTTTTTTTTTTTTTGAGACAGTCTCGCTATGTCACCCAGGCTGGAGTGCAGTGGCATGATCTCGGCTCACTGCAAGCTCCACCTCCCGGGTTCACGCCATTCTCCTGCCTCAGCCTCCCAAGTAGCCGGGACTACAGGTGCCCACCACCATGCCCGACTAATTTTTTTGTATTTCTAGTGGAGACGGGGTTTCACCGTGTTAGCCAGGGTGGTCTCGATCTCCTGACCTCGTGATCTGCCTGCCTCAGCCTCCCAAAGTGATGGGATTACAGGCCTGAGCCACCGCGCCTGGCTTTTTTTTTTTTTTTTTTGGGACGGAATTTCACTCGTTGCCCAGGCTGGAGTGCAATGGCGCAACCTTGGCTCAGTGTAACCTCCACTTCCCGGGTTGAAGCCATTCTCCTGCCTCACCCTCCCGAGTAGCTGGGACTACATGTACCCACCACCACGCCCAGCTAATTTTCTGTACTTTTAGTAGAGATGGGGTTTCACCATGTTGGCCAGGCTGGTCTCAAACTCCCGGCCTCAGGTGAGCCATCCACCTCGGCCTCCCAAAGTACTGGGATTGCAGGTGTGAGCCACTGCCCGCGTCTGCATGTGTCTTTTTGGTAGATGGACTTATATTCCGTTGGGTATATACCCAGTAATGGGATTGCTGGGTCAAATGGTAGCTCTGTTTTAAATTATTTGAGAAATTTCTAATCTGCTTTCCATAGCAAACTGAACAGTTTGCATTCCCACCAGCAGTGTACACGTGTACCCTTTTCTCCATAACCTCCCCAGCATGTCATTTTTTGGCTTTTTAATAACAGGTCTTCCGACTGGTATAAGATGGTATCTCATTGTGGTTATGATTTGCATTTCTCTGTTGAGCATTTTTTCTTATGTGTGTTGGCCTCATCTTTTGAGAATTGTCTGTTTGTGACCTCTGCCTGTTTATTTCTCCTTCTAAATATGAGAAGTAGTTTGGAGCAGATAAGGGTGCAGAATGAGGCCTCAAGCAAGGGTCAGCACAGGGTCCCTGGTGGTGAAGTGGGTCCCGCAGTATCTGTGACAGCTGCTGTACCCTCCCATCAGCTCCTGGGCATAACCTATCTGATGTGCATTTCTCCTGGCTTCCAGGCACTTTTTTTTTTTAAATAAAATATTCTTAGTCCCCCCTTCATGGTCCTTGTAGAATTTTGTCCTTGTGGCCTGGGCTCTCCCCCGGTATATTTTGCTGACTTTTTCTTGTGATTTCTCAGAGTTTTATACTTGGTTCAGTCCTGTCTTTACTTCTTAAAACTTTGAATCTTTTAGGTAAAGAGATGCAGAACATTCTGCTGCATGCCCTTTGCTCCGGGTTAGGTTCATAATGAGTAACATGGGGTAACACTGATAGAAATGTTAACATTTGATCTTTGTTTACTGTGAGGTAAGCAAAAAAATGTTTAATTAAAATAATTTTAAAAAGAAATTCTAACCTTAATTTCAAAAATATGATGTTAGTGTTTAGAAAAGCTTATGTCTGGTATACCAGCAGTCGTTACCAAACCATCACCTGTAATCCAAGATTACAAGTGACCAGCCGGGCATGGTGGCTCAGGCCTGTAATCCCAGCAGTTTGGGAGGCTGAGGCAGGCGGAGCACCTGAGGTTAGGAGTTCGAGACCAGCCTGGCCAAGATGGCGAAACCCTGTCTCTACTAAAAATACAAAAATTAGCTGGGCATGGTGGTGCATGCCTGTAGTCCCAGCCACTCGGGAGGCTGAGGCAGGAGAATCACCTGAACCTGGGAGGCAGAGGTTACAGTGAGCAGAGGTCATGCCATTGCACTCCAGCCTGGGCAACAAGAGCAAAATTCCGTCTTAAAAAAAAAATTATAAGTGACCTAGAGGGCTGTCATAGGATCACAGGATACTTCTACCCATCAGGGGCTGACGTGATCTGGAGTGATCGTCAGGGAGCTGTGTTCCTCCCAGCCTGGAAGAAGCAGATTTAACCGGCATATAGAGAGAAGACTTTCTGTTTTGTCTTTACAGTGATAGCAACTTCTCTCTCCTCTACAACCTGTGTTTGTTTTGGTAATTGTTGTCTTATCTAATAAAACTGATGTTCAGAAAGGTGTACCATGCTATCCTATGGCTTTGTCTAGCCCCCAGCACATCACTAGGTAAACCTAGAGATTTGCGATCCTTGTTTCAGAAGCCCAAGATGAAGGCCATGTCAAGCTTGTTAAAATAACAGAAGAAAGGAGATGGCAGAGCAGCGAAGTGCTGTCAGTCATTTACACTACAGTCTAAACTCACCCCCTTTCCTAAGGAAAGGTTTGAGATGAGGGGAGAGGAGAAAGACCAGGATGAGTGAGGGCAGCAGCAGATGAAAGGGAGGGAAGAAGCTGGGGTTAGCAAACTCAGCCTTCACCTCTGTGCGTCTGGCCCAGGGCCAGCCCCAATTCCTCTGACATCACTGAGCAAGCATTTGTAGCACTCATTACACACCTGTTGGTCCCAGAACATTCCATTCTGAGTCCCGTTGCCAGGAAAGGACTGCATTCTCTGACCGGGAATGAAGCCCCAGGGAGACAGAGACCCCACTGGGACCTGGCTGGAGTTCGTGCCACTGTAATCACAGGGCTGGGCAGCTTCCGCTGAGGGCCGCCTTTATCTCTCATCTTTCATCTCCAGGCTTTTCGCGCTCCTCAGTTAGTCCGCCCCCACAGCTGCCTGGACTCCACCCTGGGGGAAGAAGAGGCCCTGGGATGGGGTGACCAGGAGGTGACTTACAGACCAGGCCGGAAATGGCATCATGGCCCCCGGCCTTGTGAATTCGCGGTCTCCCGCTCCCACCCTCACCTTATCCTCAAGGCCCAGACACCAAGGCCCACTAAGGCCTGGAGGAGGGGAAGCCCGAGTGTCTCTCCCGTATCTCTGCGCCAACATCACCTCTGCCCGCCCCTGGCGCCACTCCGGGGGCTGTCTGCATTGTGTTTGGAGGTGTCTTAGGGAAGTGGGTCAAGCAGCCTCTGCCCAGGGCTTGTCTGAGTTGAGAGCAGCCAAGACCCCAGGGAGTATTCGGCTGAGGGTGCCCTTGAACCTGTGGGGAACTGGTGGGCTTTCTCTAATGCCACATGGCCTCTGTCTGCTAAAGGTGTGGCCATGGAGTCCATAAATTCAAGCCGTGTTTTTCCCTTAGGGAAAATGAAGCTCTCTGTAAGGTGAGATGGTGACTGACAAAGCCACATCCCCGTGACTCAACTTGACAAGGCGTTGTGGCCCCCTCACGTCCAACAGCCCCAATCAATGCACACTCACTGTTTTCACCACCAAGGAAAACAGCGGGCCTCTGGGACTCCAGCCGACTCCACCACGGGATGGGCGAAGGGGGAGGCTCAAGACTAACAGTCAATAGAGGCAAAGTGTGGGCCTCTATGCAACAGTTACCTGGCCAAGGGCCGCGTGCTAATTACCAATTCATTCGCGTGACAAGTTCATGAAGCAGCTCCCATTGCTATCTCCGCTGCAGGATGGAGAGGCTGAAGGTCAGACACCACAGAGAGAAGGCATAAACCAGTGGCCCCACTCTACCAGCCCCAACCCCATCTAGACCATCTAGATCCAGCCAGGTACAGCGAGCGTGCCCCGGGACCACGCAGTATGCTAAAGCCCACTGTGTTGTTGAGCCGCACGGCCACTGCCCAGGCCAGACGGCGGGGTCCCTGGCATCGTCCACATGCCCTGTGCTCATCTGGGTAGGCACTGAAGAGGTGATGAGAAGCCATCCCGCTCTCCACCCTCACAGCCCACGACCCTCAGCCAGCACCCCAACAGGGAGGTGAAGACTCAGGGGCTCACGGGAGCCTGCAAGTCCTAAAGCATCTGCATCGAGCCCACGTCCACATCAAGTCCATCCTAAGAACAGGAGCAGATCCTGCCCCGCCAGGAGGCAGGTGGGCTGCCTTCTACAAGGTCATTCAGTTCTTTTTTTTTTTTTTTGAGGCAGAGTCTTGCTCTGTCACCAGGCTGGAGTACAGTGGCACGATCTTGGCTCACTGCAACCTCCACCTCCCAGGTTCAAGCGATTCTCCTGCCTCAGCCTCCTGAGTAGCTGGGACCACAGGTGCACGCCGCCACCATGCCCAGCTAATTTTTGTAGTAGAGATGGTTTCACCATGTTGGCCAGGATGGTCTCGATCTCCTGACCTCATGATCCACCCACCTCGGCCTCCCAAAATGCTGGGATTACAGGCGTGAGCCACCAGGCCCGGCCGGCCATTCAGTTCTTAAAGACTCATTTCCTGAGTGAGCCCAGTGCCTGCAGAACGAGGCCTACTGACCACATCTCCCAACTCCGCCATCACCAACCAGGAGCTGCCTCCAGGGACAGCAGGAGTAAGTGTCTCAAGTTAGGACCAAACAAAGCCTGGGTCCTGTGGTCCCTGGACATGACACGCTCCTTTGCTATTTCCACTCGCTTCACCCACCCACAAGAGGTGGGCATGGCCAAAACGCACAGGAGTCACACTCCCGCCAGCCCCAGCTCTTCCTGGCGCGGCACCACCACTGGCTGGCAGGGGCGCAGGAGTGGCGCCTCTTTGCAGGTGTGATTTGAGGTGGAGCCGCAGAGATTCTCACAACCCAAAAAGTCAGAGCCGGCTGGGTGCGGTGGCTCACGCCTGTAATCCCAGCACTCTGGGATGCCGAGGCGGGCAGATCACAAGGTCAGGAGATCGAGACCAGCCTGGCCAACATGGTGAAACCCGTCTCTACTAAAAATACAAAAATTAGCCAGGTGTGGCGGCGGGCACCTGTAGTCCCAGCTACTCGGGTGGTTGAGGCAGGAGAATCGCTTGAACCCGGAAGGCGGAGGCTGCAGTGAGCCGAGATCGGGCCAATACACTCCAGCCTAGGTGACAGAGCGAGACTGTCTCAAAAGAAAAAGAAAAAAAGAAAGAAAAAGCCGAAGCCCAGGAACCGATTTGTGTTTTGTAAAATGCCTTTTGGAATCTCTAATGAGACGATGCTGTTCACTGTGGCTGTCCACTGTGGCAGGCGTGGCGCTGGGGGTGTGACCACAGTAGCAGGCAGCCGCCCGGTGACAGCCTTCTTGACTTTCCCTTTCTTTCCTAGCGTTCTGAAGGGGGGCAATGGCCTTATTACACTGAGCCAGAAAATACCCAGCAAAGGTCACAATAAGGCTATGTCGAGAACAAACCAGCTTTATTGTTACGTGTTGATGTGGCTTCTCCAAAGACCATGTTCTGTTGCCATTTGGGCGCGGCCGCACCCAGAAAGACAATAGCCACTATTACACTGCCAAGACAGGTCTCAGAAGTTCCATTTTCCTAAAAATGGCATTTCTGGCTCTGAAAGGGATTGCCCAAAATTTGTTTTTTGATAAAAACATGTTTTAATAAGAACATTTTTCTTGGGGTTCAAAAACATGTCTTTTTGGCCTAAGGCAGCCCAGAAACAGCAGGGGGGCATGCAGTGGGGAGGGAAAGACAAGTTCCATCCAGTAGGCGGAAGGCAGAGGGCAGAGGC
The DNA here is from genome assembly GCF_000001405.40 of Homo sapiens. Lineage (NCBI taxonomy): Eukaryota > Metazoa > Chordata > Mammalia > Primates > Hominidae > Homo > Homo sapiens. Next base: position 11,901,468 of record NC_000010.11, read on the forward strand.
CCCTGCAGTGGAGATGGGCTCTTGCCCGCCCTCCCCACCCTTTCAAGAACCATCTCCCAAGGGCGGATCTTGACCAAGGCTGTGGTTCCTGCTGTCTGCTCTGACCTTGCCCACCAAAACTTTGGCCCCGTCTGCAAATACAAACAGAACGGATGACTTATCTGTGTTGCCTAATGAAGGCAGGTTGCCCTTCACATGCCCAGGTTCCTGCCCAGGCTGAGCTGCTGGCCCACACACGTGCCCAGGGAGATTCTTTTTCTGGCGGCTATTTCCTCCTGTCAAGAATTCTCCTGGATTCAGGAAGTTCCGTTTAAGAGTTTCCTCACTGCCATCATAGAAACCTAAGTCTGGAAGGATCTCTAAGCAGTTACGAAGTCTATTCCCAAACATCGCCACACTCCCTGCCGTTTTCAGAGGCGGAACCCCCCCATCCCCCGACAGCTGCCGGCCACGCTGTGACTCACTTCTTCCACCACTTCGTGAGGTCTCAGCTAAGGTCTTCAGGTTTCTGGGGGGCCCTGCTCCCGTCGGCTCTTGTCTCTCAAGTGAACAGAACTGTTTCTGAAGGGCATACGTAGGGCAGGTGTCCCCACCCACACTGTCCTTCCAGTTCTGGCTGGGCCAGATTCTCAAAGCCCACCCCAGACCCACTGAGTCAGAATCCACATTTTAACAAGATCCCAGGTGAGTTGCGTCCTCATGAGAGCCCAGGGATCACTGCTGTAAGAGAGCCCAAAAGCGCCTGTTAGGCATCTGCTATCAAAATCCTATACGTCTTTTAGGGCTCAGCTTGACTGTGCCCTGCTCCATGTCACCTCCCACTTGCCCTAATCTCACTGTATGTGTGCGCGCGCGTGCGCGCGCACACACACACACACACACACACACAGATGTACTGCTGCCTTTCCTGCAGTGACCACATCGCTGGGTCTCTTTTAGCCCAGAGCTCACCCTCTTTCCTGAAGTGCATTTGAGACTCTCCCTCTGCTGTCAATTATAGCCGTGTGCTGAGTGAGGGCCTTGTTAATCTATAGCATCCCGTGCCATGCCTTGAGAGATGCTGTGGACAGAGCCTGAACAGCACAGATGCATGAAGCAAATGAATGGAATAATGGAGGGAGGAACAAACAGAGGTCAGGCTCTCAACACAGGAAGGTCTGCAGGATTCCACCGGCAGCACTGTACCGGACACTCTGGGGTGAGAGTTTCACAAGCTTGGCCCCAGCTTTCTTCCCTTGAGCAGTGGGGAGCACCTTAGTTTGCCTGCCCCCATCTTGGAGTGACAGGAAATGAGATGCACCCTGGGGTGCGCCCAGGAGCCTCAGAGGCCATGAGGCTGTCCCTGTAGGTCCAAAGAGGACAGGGGCATCTGCCTTGCCAGAGGATGCACAGCAAAGCCTGCGTTTGCAGCAGGAGCCCGAGCCTGCCCTCTTCAGTGGCCAGCTCCAGCACTGGGATATGAGGGCAAACTCACAAACTCCCTGACCTTGGCGAGCTGTCCTCCTATCCGCTCATCTTCCTATCTGCTCATCTTCTAGGAAAGCCTTCCTGGACCGCCTTACCCAATCTCCCCTTTCTCAGGATCCTGGCACTTTGTGGGTATATGGTTTTCTCTGTTGATACTGCAGAGACTTTCCTTCTAAGACTGGAAATGAGGCAGCCGTATCACCCCCACCACTTTCATTGATTATTGTGCTGGAGAGTCTAGCCAGTGCAGTCAGGTAAGAAAAAGACATAAAAGACATCCACATTGGAAAGCTGGTACAGCTGCCATGATCCCGGATGAAGAATATCCTAAGGAATGTACAAAACAACCACTAGAACTAACGAAAGAGTCCAGCAATGTCACAGGATACAAGATCAGGGTAGAAATATCAATTGCATTTCTACGTATTAGCGCAATCTGAAAATGAAATTAGTGGCTGGGTGTGGTGGCTCACGCCTGCAATCCCAGCACTTTGGTAGGCCAAGGCGGGGGTGGATTCTTTGAGGTCAGGAGTTCGAGACCAGCCTGGTCAACATGGTGAAACCCCATCTCCACTAAAAATACAAAAATTAGCCAGGTATGGTGGTGGGTACCTGTAATCCAGCTACTCGGGAGGCTGAGGCAGGAGAATCACTTGAACCCGGGAGGTGGAGGTTGCAGTGAGCTGAGATTGCACCACTGTACTCCAGCCTGGTGACAGGGTAAGGCATTGTCTCAAAAAAAAAAAAAAAAAAGAAGAAGAAAATGAAGTCAGTAATTCCATTCATAAAAGCATCAAAGATAATGCTATTCCTATCAAAATCCCAGCAACATATTTTGCAGAAATAGAGAAGCTTATTCTAAAATCTATATGGAAAGGCAAAGGAACTAGATTGGGTGAAAACAACCCTGATGAAGAAAAAAGAGGGAGAAATCACTGTCCTCAGTCTCAAGGCTTACTCCACAGCCACAGCAACCAAGTCAGTGTGGTGTTAGTGGAGGACTAGACAGACCAAAGGAACAGAACCCACACCTAGGCCCACACGAGCATGTGCAACTGATTTTTTGAGACGGAGTCTTGCTCTGTCACCTAGGCTGGAGCACAGTGGCGTGATCTCAGCTCACTGCAACCTCTGCCTCCTGGGTTCAAGCGATTGTCCTGCCTCAGCCTCCAGAGTAGCTGGGATTACAGGCAAGCGCCACCACACCCGGCTAATTTTTGTATTCTTAGTAGACAGGGGATTTTGTCATGTTGGCCAGGCTGGTCTCAAACTCCTGACCTCAGGTGATCCGCCTGCCTCAGCCTCCCAAAGTACAGGGATTACAGGCATGAGCCACCGTGCCAAGCCTGGTTTTTTGTTTTTTTTTTTTTAATATATATCCAGCAAAACTCTATTTCAAAATTGAAAACAAAATAAAGACACTTCCAAATTAAAAAAAGCTGAGAGAATTTGCTGCTGGCAGACCTGCCTTATAAAACATAGTCGTGTCATCTGATTTTTGCCAAAGGTGCAAAAGCAATTCAACAGAGCAAGGAGAGCTCTTTAACAAATGGGATAAGACTGGACGTCCACAGGTGAAAGTGATCCTCGACGCAAACCTCACACCTGATACAAAAAGTTGGCTCAAAATGAATCATGGACCTAAATGTAAAACATAAAACTATAATACTTTTAGGAAAGAAAACAGAAAATCTTTGAGACTTAGAGCTAGGTGAAGACTAGAGATTTTTGGTTTTTGTTTTTGAGACAGTCTCGCTGTGTTGCCCAGGCTGGAGTGCAGTGGTGCAATCTCGGCTCACTGCAGCCCCCACCTCCCAGATTCAAACGATTCTCCTGCCTCAGCCTCCGGAGTAGCTGCAATTATAGACGCGCAACACCCCGTCTGGCTAATTTTTGTATTTTTAGTAGAGACAGGTTTTCACCATGTTGGCCAGGTTGGCCTTGAACTCCCGACCTCACGTGATCCGCCCGCCTCAGCCTCCCAAAGTGCTGGGATTACAGGCACGAGCCACTGCCCCCAGCCAACAGTAGAGTTCTTAGGCATGATACCAAAAGCACAATCCATGAAAAAAAAAAAAAATAGGTTGGACTTCATCGAAATTTAAAACTTGCTGAGTGAAAGAACTGTTAAGAGGATGAAAAGACAAACTACCTACTGGGGAGAAATGTTGAAAAACCACGTAACTCACAAAGGACTTGTATCTAGAGTACATAAAGACTTCTCAAAACTCAATGGTAAAAACACAGATGAAGGTCCTGCTTCTAATTAAATTACAAAGCGTGGCCGGGCGCGGTGGCTCAAGCCTGGAATCCCAGCACTTTGGGAGGCCGAGGCGGGCGGATCATGAGGTCAGGAGATCGAGACCATCCTGGCTAACACGGTGAAACCCCGTCTCTACCAAAAATTCAAAAAATTATTATCTGGGCGTGTTGGCACGCGCCTGTAGTCCCAGCTACTCGGGAGGCTGAGGCAGGAGAATGGCATGAACCCAGGAGGCGGAGGTTGCAGTGAGCCGAGATCGCACCATTGCACTCCAGCCTGGGCAACAAAGCAAGACTCCATCTCCAAAAAAAAAAAAAGCAAGCGGGCAAAAGACAAACAGACGTTTCACCAAAGAGGAGGTGTGAACGGCAACCAAGTGCATAAAAGCACATTCAACATCGTAGCCAGGAGGAAAATGCCAATGAGAACTCCAAGGATAGGCCCCCACGCACCAGTTAGAGCAGCTACAATAAAAATACTCCTAACAGCAGGTGCCTGCAACATGAGGGAGAAACTGGCTCTCTCACACACCGCTAGTGGGAATGTAAGACGGTACCTTTACTCTGGAAAACAGCTCAGCAGCTCTTTCTTAGAAGACCAAACAGGCACTTTCTATGTGACCCAGCAATCATCCTCTTGGGTGTTTGTCCCAGAGAAATGAACACTTTTACATTTACACAAAAACCTGCACCAACCCAGAATTGAACACTTAAAAATGGTTACAGGCCAGGCACCGTGGCTCAGGCCTGTAATCCCAGCACTTTGGGAGGCTGAGGCAGGAGGATGACTTGAGCTGAGGAGTTGAGCCCAGTCTGGGCAACATAGTGGAACCCCAGCTCTACAAAATAATAAATTAGCCAGATGTGGCAGAACACGCCTGTGGTCACTTGAGCCCAGGAGATCAAGGCTGCAGTGGGTTGTGGTTGCACGACTGCACTCTAGCCTAGACAAGAATGAGACCCCACTGCAAAAATCAAACAAAAAAGGCCAGTTGCGGTGGCTCACACCTGTAATCCCAGCACTTTGGGAGGCCAAGGCGGGCAGAGTGCTTGAGGTCAGGAGTTTGAGACCAGCCTGGCCAACTTGGTGAAACCCCATGTCTACTAAAAATACAAAAATTAGCCAGGCATGGTGGTGGCTGCCTGTAATCCCAGCTACTCAGGAGGCTGAGGCAGGAGAATTGCTTGAACCTGGAAGGTGGAGGTTGCAATGAACCTAGAACACACCACTGCACTCCAGCCTGGGCAACAGAGCAAGACTCCATCAAAAAGAAAAAAAAAAAACTTACCTTTTCACAAAAAACTATATATGTACTAAATTGTATATTTAAAGGTTACTGGTGCCCGGGCACAGTGGCTCATGCCTGTAATCCCAGCACTTAGGGAGGCCGAGGCAGGTGGATTACCCAAGGTCAGGAGTTTGAGACTAACCTGGCCAACACGGTAAAACCCCATCTCTACCCAAAATACAAAAATTAGCCATGTGTGGTGGTGCCTGCCTGTAATCCCAGCTACACGGGTGACTGAGGAAAAACCAGAACAAAAACCAAAACAAAACAATAAAAGGGTTACTGGTAAATTTTATATTACATATATTTTACCACACAAAATCTGTACATAAATATTCATAGCAGCTTTATTCAGAAGAGCCAAAAACCGGAAGCAACCCAAACATGCTTCTGTGGGCGGATGGTTAAACCAACGCTGGTCCATCCAGCCACAGAATTCTACTCAGCCATAAAAAGAAACACACAACACGCACAGCAGCTGGCAGGGCTCCCAAGGCCATCACAGAGCCACACTGTACGACCCCATTGACATGAACATTCTCAGAATGACAGAAGAGTAAGGATGGAGACCGGATTGGCAGTTGCCGGGGGACAAGGACAGTGGTGCCGTGACTACAGAGAGTTCCTCTATGTTGGTGGAAGTTCTGTATCTTGACTGTACGGAGTTACAGGAACCCATACACGGGATCATGTCTCATAGAACCACACACACGCACGCACGTGTATGTGAAAGTGGGTGGAACTGTGTAAGGTTCAATGTCTGATCAACAGCACTGAACCAATATCACTTTCCTGGTTGTGACGTTGGACAGTCATCCTGTAAGATGCCACCATTGGGGGAAGCTGGTTGAAGGGTTTGTGGGACCGTGTGTTATGTTTGCAACTTCAGGTGCTTCTGTAAGTCTTCCTAAATCAACAGTTTTTTATTATTATTATTATTTTTATTTTGAGAGGGAGTCTCGCTCTGTCGCCCAGGCTGGAGTGCAGTGGCGCGATCTCCGCTCACTGCAAGCTCCGCCTCCCGGGTTCATGCCATTCTCCTGCCTCAGCCTCCTGAGTAGCTGGGACTGCAGGTGCCCGCCACCACGCCCGGCTAATTTTTTTTTTTTTTTTTTTTGTATTTTTAGTAGAGAAGGGGTTTTACCATGTTAGCCAGGATGGTCTCAATCTCCTGACCTCGTGATCCGCCCGCCTCGGCCTCCCAAAGTGCTGGGATTACAGGCGTGAGCCACCACGCCCGGCCATAAATCAACAGTTTTAAGTTGTAAGTGTGATCAGGAATTTTCATCCTTATTTTGCGTCTCCTCACCCAGTAACAGAGGGTGTTGCTGCCTTCTGTGCATTTGACCCCCACGCTTGGATCCGATCGGAGATGGCAGGGCTGAGTGCTCTTGGAGCCCAGGTGGGGCGCACTGGCCGATCGTGGAAGAAGGAAGGACGCCAAAGCCCCACAGGCCTGGCACCAGTGATGTAAACACTCCGCCACCTTCAGCCTCTGTCCCGCCGGGCCCCAAGAGAGGGACCCAGATGGCTTTCTCCTGAGGGGCCGAGTTAGGGTCACTGCCACGGAGCCTCAGCGGGCCATTCTCTGCCCCTCCTGCTGTGAGCGGTGAGGCAGGCGGCAGGGCAAGGGTCAGGGCCTGGGCCCAGGTGGGCGCTTCTCGCCTGCTGCTGTGGGAAGGAAGCTTGCTTCCCAAGCCTCGGGTCTCAAAGAAGACACAGCGCAGCAGGCTGTGGCCGGGAGCCCTCTGGCCTCCCCAGGTGTGCGACGTTCTCCACTGTCCAATGCCAGCAGCCCGGGCCACCTCGATCACAGCTCCTGAGGCTCGCTTAGGAAAAATGCAAAGCACATGCCCAGCAAACAAACCAAGTCAAAGCAGAAGGAAAGGAAAACCCGGCCAGGCAGAACGGAGGGAGGTGCCAGCTCACAGCCAGCCCCTCTCCCCAGCTCCTGTCCCTGCTGGGGCGCTCCCTGCACTCCTCAGACCCCAGCCCCAGGCCTGAGGATCCCAAGTGGCCCTAGAAGCATCTTCAGTCACCGCGGTTCTGGAGGGGAGCCTCCTTCCCACGCACCCCAGTGCCTCCTTTGCCCTTCCCAGAGCAACGCGACCTCCTCAGCTCCCTGGCCAGACCTCTGCCTGCCAGCTGCAGACTGGGGGCCTCCAGAAGCCAGGTCCACCTGGCAGGGGCCATTCTCCCTGGCAGCAGTAAAGCCATGAGGCCATGCAAGGCACGCAGACCAGGAGAGGCACACGGCACTTAGGCAGCTCATCCTCACCCTCCCCACGAGTGGCACCACCAGGGGCTTCCCACACTTTACCACTCTCCCAGTCGCCAGGCCAGGAGCCCCGAGTCCCCTCACCCCACCTGCTCCTCCATGGAGCCCATTGCCCAGGCCTGGCAGCTCTGCTGGAAACACACGCTCGAGCCTGTCTGCTCTTTTCCTCCCATCCACCATCCCCCAAGCGTCCCATGTCCAGGGCCTCGCCCTCCTGACTCCACCTCAGCCCCTACCATCTGCTCCCCACCCCACAGCCAGAGTGAACCTTCAAGTCAGATCCAACCAACCCCGTAACACTTAGAAGGAAACGTACACGTCCCACTGGCGACCAAGCCCACTCCAGCACTGGCCCTGCCCTCACGCCGCTTCCACTGCAGCTCTCTCCACCTCCCGCTGCATCCTCCTTCCTCAAAGGGCCACACTCAGTCCCTTCCCTCTGTCCTCTTCTCTTGCACTGTGTCCCCCAGTCTGGAGCTGACCCCCTGTCAGCTCTTAATTCTCTCTTGGCCTGGAGGACTCCTCCTCCACACATCCGACCCGGGGTAGCCAACAAGCCACTGAGCGGTCGTGGGCACAATGGCTCAAACCTGTGACCCCAGCACTGTGGGAGGCCAAAGTGGGAGGGTTGCTTGAGGCTAGGAGTTCAAGATCAGCCTGGCCCACAAAGTGAGACCCTGTTCCGCAAAAAAATTTTAAATAGTTAGCTGGGCTGGATTGCATGTGCCTGTAGTCCCAGCTACTTGGGAGGCTGAGGTGGGAGGATCACTTGAGCTTGGTAGGTCCAAGGCTGCAGTGAGCCGTGATCATGCCACTGCACTCCAGCCTGGGCAACAGAGCAAGTCACTTACTCCAAGAAAAAAAAAAAGTCACTAAGCCATGACACGGGCCCAGCAACAGCTCCCAGGAACCCTCCAGTGAGGACGGCCCTTTCAAGTCGCCTTGACTTGGGCAGAGGCATTGGCCCTCGTACTCCCACACTGACCAGCGTTTACGTGGGGTGTCCCCAGGCCACCCCCAGCCACGTCTGCAGCCGAGACCATCCCAGGAGCTGACAGCTGGAGGCTGCCTGCCAAGAGCACTCCTGGCAGCTCCCAGCATGAGTCCTCCAGGGAAGGCAGTCTAGGCAGCAGATACAGTCTCCATCAGCAGTGACCTCCGTGAGACACTGTCCTTAATCACTGTTTATGTGTCTCACCCTTGGAAAACGTAGGTGCCACAGAAGCAGGACTTTCTCTGCCCTGTGCATTACTGTAACCTTATTTATTACCCGTAACTAGCACGCAGGAGGGCTGAAGGAATTTTAGCTGCCCAGGTCTGGAACCTGTTTTCCATTCTATTTTCACCATCACCCTAGAACTTTCAGAAATTTATTCTCATTACACAAATACTTTAAAGAGGCTTCAGTTACGGAACTTACCTGGTAAGTGGCAGGAGCAGAACTGACATCCAGTCTTGCTTCACCCACAGCCAGTGTTACCGGGTGACACGCCTGCTGCCCCACAAGCAGAAAAGCCAGTACTATGGCGCAGGTGGTTGTGAGTGCCCGGCACGGAGACAGGAAGCCACACTCCCACCCGTCTCCCCAAGATGAGGTGGGTCAAGCCCTCCTGGCCGTTCTAACTAGTCTCAGCTGATGGCAATGCAGCCGGTCTGCCAGGCTTGTGGTGTTAACAATGAGGATGTCAAACCCTTCCTGCTGTGCGTGCCTGGCAATTTTGGCTCTGTCACCTGTAACAACTTAAGAAAAAGTAAATTGGTGTGAGCTGGTCCTGCGGGTACACCCGATCGCTGCCACTGTACCGGAAGGATGGCAAAGGAGCAGTCGGTGGTCAGTCCTGTGTTGAAGGATGAGGGTACACATTCCAGATGGGTAAGGATTTAAGCAAATCCCTACAATTCCTCATACTCTCAGTGTTGAATGCAATGCTCCTGGTATCACAGTCATAGTAAATGTGGGCTCATTGATTTGAGAACCAACCCCCGCATCCCTTTGTTCTAGGTACGCAAGCCAGGGGTCAAAACTGATTATTTCAAATCTTCTTCCTGCTTTGCTTCCTTCACTTATTCTTTGCCAATCCTGTCTCAACGAAGCCCTGTAAAAATCCCACCTCCAGTCTCAAAATGATTCTGGAGTATTGTTCTGGCCCGACTCTACTGAAAGAAAAAGTCACCAGCCTGTGGGGTTTAAGAATTCCCATCTTGCTGGGTGCAGTGGCTCATGCCTGTAATCCAGGCACTTTGGGAAGCCAAGGTGGGTGGATGACCTGAGGTCAGGAGTTCGAGACCAACCTGGCCAACATAGTGAAATCCTGTCTCCACTAAAAAATACAAAAATTAGCCAGGCGTGGTGGCAGGCACCTTAATCCCAGCTACTTGGGAGGCAGAGGCAGGAGAATCGTTTAAACCCGGGAGGCAGAGTTGCAGTGAGCCGAGATGGAGCCATTGCACTCAAGCCTGGGGGACAAGAGCGAGACTTCTCTCAAAAAAGAAAAAAAAAAAGAATTCCCAAATTCCCATCTTTTCAGCCAGGCGCAGTGGCTCACGCTTGTAATCCCAGCACTTTAGGAGGCCGAGGTGGGCGGATCATGAGGTCAGGAGATTGAGACCATCCTGGCCAACATGGTGAAACCCCATCTCTACTAAAAATACAAAAATTAGCTGGGCATGGTGGCACATGCCTCCAATCCCAGCTACTCAGGAGGCTGAGGCAGGAGAATCGCTTGAACCTGGGAGGCAAAGGTTGCAGTGAGCCGAGATCGTGCCACTGCACTCCAGCCTGGTGACAGAACTAGACTCCATCAAAAAAAAAAAAAAAAAAAAAAAAGAATTCCCATCTTTTTCAAAGGGCACCTTGAATTTTGTTGGTCCTGACCACCATCCACGATGTATCTCAGAAGCTAACACCTGGGGTGGTTTGACTGATGCCAGTTCCTGTCTAGGCACTTTGCAGGGCTCAGAAGCTGCCATGATACTTTTTGGATGAAGGAATCATATAAACTGGGAATACCATGTATTTCTCCTTGATATTCAATAGCCTCCCAACATTATTGGGAGGGAAGAGCATACAGAAGAAACATTAATAAGAGAATAAAAGGTTTGTGCCTGAATTCAAGTGTTCAGTGGTCTCTGGGGAGGTAGGGACATTGTTTCTCTACTTGGCAAGGCCGTATTCCCTGAAGGGTGGCATTCCCATGGTTCCCACTACTATTCAGGTACGTTTCTATGTGCAATAAAGCATAGTTGTTGAAAGTCATGTGTGTGATTTTAGCTGCCCAGTTCTGAACCTGATATTGACTGTGTACACCTGAGGGGTTTCTGAGGTCTTCAAGGACAGAGCCTGCTTGGTCCACTGTGTGTTCAACACTGTATCCGACACACAGACACTATGATCATGATAATACTAATAGTTAACCTTCCTTCAGCACTTACTCTATAACAGCCACTGTCCCTGGCTGGGCGAGGTGGCTCACGCCTGTAATCCCAGCACTTTGGGAGGCCGAGGCGGGCAGATCACGAGGTCAGGAAATTGAGACCATCCTGGCTAACACGGGGAAACCCCATCTCTACTAAAAATACAAAAAAAATTAGCCAGGCATGGTGGCGGGTGCCTGTAGTCCCAGCTACTCAGGAGGCTGAGGCAGGAGAATGGCGTGAACCCGGGAGACGGAGCTTGCAGTGAGCCTAGATCGTGCCATTGCATTCCAGCCTGGACGACAGAGCGAGACTCCGTCTCAAAAAAAAAAAAAAAAGCCACCCTCTCATGTCCTTTATCCCATTAACTCCTCATACAACCCTACTAAGTTATCCCCATCTTACAGATAAGAAAACCGAGAGTCAGAGGTCAATAACTACCCAAGGTCATAATGGTAGGAAGTGCCGAAGCTGGGGCTCAGTGTGTATCTAATGAGGGGCCACCACGGCCAGCCTGGAACCTTCACTCTCCTCTGACTGTAGCAGGTATTTCTTGCCTCTGGGCTTCTGCTGCAACAATGTTCCACAGCTGAATGCTCCCTAGTGGCAAGTGTACATGAAGCTTGCCTGTTCATCTGGTAGATTACAAACGAAGCTAACAGTTTGTGGCAGTAGGTCAGCGTTCTCTGCCCATCAGTCCAGGCAAGCTATTTCCTGCCAGCACTGACACCAGCAGGCTCTAAGTGACCGTGCCGCCATCCAGAGTCAGTGTGAAATGGGGACATGGTGACTGGCAAGACCTGCCTTTATTTCCCAAATTCCTGACCTCCTCTGGTGGAGCCGGACTAGACAAGTGACAGCTCACCAGCAAGCCTGAGGTCAGGCAGCGTTCGGGTGAAGCGCGGAAGCCCTGTTCCAAACCAGGGCAGGGCCATTCCCTCCAAATCTCCATAGTCTGGGTGGTGGGAGGGAGCATTTGTTGAGCACTTCCCAGGGCACCCCCATTCCTAACCTTAGACTGCTGTACGCAGGTCAAGCTTGTTTCTTTTGCAAGACAGCAGCCGACTAACCACCCTCCCTTTAAACTCATCCCTCCGCCAGGGCTGCGGGCAGGCAGAGAGACACCTCCTACTAAAGCTCAAGGGAAGGAGCCCCTAAATCACGCAGGGGGCCCAGAGGACGGCCGCGCATTTCCATGAAGAGGTGGTGCTTACTGAATCTTGAAAGGCAAGAGGCATGAGCCTAGGAAACAGCACACACAAAGGGGTAATTACAGCAACGGCCACTGAAGGAATCCTTCCTACGTGCCAAGCCTTGCTCTAAGCTCTTCACAGATACCATGGCTTAAGTTCACTGAATTGTTCACATTTCTTATCTGTTTCCCCTGCTGGAAGGATGTTAGTTCCTCCAGGGCAGTGACTGTCCCTCCACCTCTATCCCCAGGGCTTACAACAGTGCCTTAGCACATAGAGTGAGATCAATAGCTATCTGTCCAGTGAATCTCTGTTTTCCCTGGGTCTCCAAGTATTCATATAAAAGTTTAAATCCGGCCAGGCACAGTGGCTTATGCCTGTAATCCCAGCACTTTGGGAGGCCGAGGCGGATGGAGCACTTGAGGTCAGGAGTTCGAGACCAGCCTGGCCAACATGGAGAAACCACATCTCTACTAAAAATACACAAATCAGCCAGGCATGGTGATGCACACCTATAATCCCAGCTACTTGGGAGGCTGAGGTGGGAGAATCGCTTGAGCCCCGGAGGCAGAAGTTGCAGTGAGCAGAGATCATGCCACTGCACTGCAGCCTGGGCATCAGAGTGAGACTCTGTCTCAAAACAAAAACAAAAACAAAAAAATCTACAAGACACATTGGGCTCCCAATAGCTGAAAGGTTACCTCTGAATATATAAAAACTTGAAAACATTTTTTTTTTTTTGAGACAGAGTCTCGCTCTGTCACCCAGGTTGGAGTGCAGTGGCGCGATCTCGGCTCACTGCAAGCTCCGCCTCCCGGGTTCACGCCATTCTCCTGCCTCAGCCTCCAGCTGGGACTACAGGCGCCCGCCACCATGCCCGGCTAATTTTTTTTTGTAATTTTAGTAGAGACCGGGTTTCACTGTTTTAGCCAGGATGGTCTTGATCTCCTGACCTTGTGATCCGCCCACCTCGGCCTCCCAAAGTGCTGGGATTACAGGCATGAGCCACCGCGCCTGGCCAGATGAAAACAATTTTAGAAAGGAACCTGAGACATGTTGCATCTCTGCCTTTTCCAAAGAATATCTTGAGTTTTTCGCTCTGAGTATCATGAAGATATTACATGACATGGGTGGAGTCAGGAAATCTGCGGTCTCACCTCTCTACTGTAGGTCTCACTACTCCAGGACTACAGTTGACTCTTGAATAGCACAGGTTTGAACTGCATGGGCCCACTTACACATGGATTTTCTTCCACCTCTACCACCCCTGAGACAGCAAGACCAACTCCTCCTCCTCACCTACTCAATGTGAAGACGAGGATGAAGGCTTTTATGACGATCCACTTCCACTTAGTAGTAAATATATTTTCCCTTCCTTATGGTTTTCTTATTTATTTATGTATTTATTTAGAGACAGGGTCTCACTCAGTTGCCCAGGCTGGAGTGCAGTGGCACAATCTCTGTTCATTGCAGCCACAAGCTCCATGGCTCAAGTGATCTTCCCACCGCAGCCTCCAAAATGCTGGGATCATAAGCATAAGCCACCATACCTGGGCCCATGATTTTCTTAATAACATTATCCTTAGCTCACTTTATTGTAAGAATAAAATACATAATACATATAACATACAAAACATGTTAACTGACTACTTATGATATTGCTAAGGCTTCCAGTCAACACCAGGCTATATTTGTAAAGTCTGTGGGGAGTCAAAAGTTACATGCAGGCCGGGCGCTGTGGCTCATGCCTGTGAACCCAGCACTTTGAGAGGCTGAGGCAGGTAGATCACCTAAGGTCAGGAGTTTGAGACCAGCCTGGCCAACATGGTGAAACCCCATCTCTACTAAAAATACAAAAATTAGCCAGACGAGGTGGCAGGCACCTGTTATCCCAGCTACTTGGGAGGCTGAGGCTGGAAAATCGCTTGAATCTGGGAGGCAGAGGTTGCAGTGAGCTGAGATTGCGCCACTGCACTCCAGCCTGGCGGCAAAACTCCATCTCAAAAAAAAAAAAAAAAAAAAAAAAAATAGAATTCCCATCTTTTCCAAAGGGCACCTTGGATTTTGTTTGTCCTGACCGCCATCCACAATGTATCTCAGAAACTAACACCTGGGGTGGTTTGACCCAGGCCAGTTCCTGTCTAGGCACATTGCAGGGCTCAGAAGCTGCCATGATACTTTTTGGATGAAAGAATCATATAAACTGGGAATACTACATATTTCTCCTTGATATTCAAATGGCCTCCCAACTTTGGGAGGGAAGAGCATACAGAAGAAACATTAATGAGAGAATAAAAGGTTTGTGCCTGAATTTAAGTGTTCAGTGGTCTCTGGGGAGGTGGGAACATTCTCTCTCTGCTTGGCAAGGCCATATTCCCTGAAGAGTGGCATTCCCATGGTTCCCACTACTGTTCAGGTACGTTTCTATGCCCAATAAAGCGTAGTTGTTGAAAGTCGTGTGTGTCGGCCGGGCGCAGTGGTTCATGCCTGTAATCTTAGCACTCTGGGAGGCTGAGGCAGATGGATGACCTGAGGTCAGGAATTCGAGACCAGCCTGACCAACATGGAGAAACCCTGCCTCTACTAAAAATACAAAATTACTTGGAAGTGGTGGTGCATGCCTGTAATCCCAGCTACTCGGGAGGCTGAGGCAGGAGAATCACTTGAACCCGGGAGGCAGAGGCTGCAGTGAGCCGAGATCGCACTACTGCACTCCAGCCTGGACGACAGGGCAAGACTCCGTCTCAGAAAAAAAAAAAAAGGCTAGAGGGCATGAGCCTAGGAAACAGCACACGCAAAGGTGTAATTACAGCAGCGGCCACTGAAGGAATCCTTCCTACGTGCCAAGCCTTGCTCTAAGCACTTCACAGATACCATGGCTTAAATTCACTGAATTGTTCACATTTCTGTCTGTCTCCCCTGCTGGAAGGATGTTAGTTCCTCCAGGGCAGTGACTATCCCTCCACCTCTATCCCCAGGGCTTACAACAGTGCCTTAGCACATAGAGTGAGATCAATAGCTATCTGTCCAATGAATCTCTGTTTTCCCTGGGTCTCCAAGTATTCATATACAAGTTTAAATCTGGCCGGGTGCGGTGGCTCACGCCTGCAATCCAAGCACTTTGAGACACCAAGGCGGGTGGATCACTTGAGGTCAGAAGCTCAAGACCAGCCTGGCCAACATGGTGAAACCCCAGCTCTACTAAAAATACAAAAACTAGCCAGGTGTGGTAGTGGGCACCTGTAATCCCAGCTACTCGGGAGAGTGAGGCAGGAGAATCGCTTGAACCCAAGAGGTGGAGGCTGCAGTGAGCCGAGATCAGCCACTGCACTCCAGCCTGGGCAACAGAGTGAGACTCGGTCTCAAACAAACAAACAAACAAACAAACAAACAAGAAGTTGCTATTTCGATACCTTCCATTTGCAACTAAGAAACACATTGGGTGGTAGGCGCAGTGGCTCACGCCTGTAATCCCAGCACTTTGGGAGGCCAAGGCAGGCAGAGCACTTGAGGTTAGGAGATCAGCCTGGCCAACATGGAAAAACCCCATCTCTATTAAAAATACAAAAATTAGCCGGGCATGGCGGTGCACACCTATAATCCTAGCTATTTGGGAGGCTGAGGAGGGAGAATCACTTGAGCCTGGGACGGGGAGGTTGCAGTGAGCGGCATCATGCCACTGCACTGCAGCCTGGGCAACAGAGTGAGACTCTTGACTCAAAAAAAACAAAAACAAAAAAACCTACAAGACACATTGGGCTCCCAGTAGCTGAAAGTTTACCTCTGAATATGTAAAAACTTGAAAACAATTTTAGAAAGGAACCTGAGACATGTTGCATCTCTGCCTTTTCCAAAGAATATCTTGAGTTTTTCACTCTGAGTATCATGAAGATATTACATGACATGGGTGGAGTCAGGAAATCTGCGGTCTCACCTCTCTACTGTAGGTCTCACTACTCCAGGACTACAGTTGACTCTTGAATAGCACAGGTTTGAACTGCATGGGCCCACTTACACATGGATTTTCTTCCACCTCTACCACCCCTGAGACAGCAAGACCAACTCCTCCTCCTCACCTACTCAACGTGAAGACGAGGATGAAGACTTTTATGACGATCCACTTCCACTTAATAGTAAATATATTTTCCCTTCCTTATGGTTTTCTTATTTATTTATTTATGTATTTATTTATGTATTTATTTAGAGACAGGGTCTCACTCAGTTGCCCAGGCTGGAGTGCAGTGGCACAATCTCTGTTCATTGCAGCCACAAGCTCCATGGCTCAAGTGATCTTCCCACCGCAGCCTCCAAAATGCTGGGATCATAAGCATAAGCCACCATACCTGGCCCATGATTTTCTTAATAACATTATCCTTAGCTCACTTTATTGTAAGAATAAAATACATAATACATATAACATACAAAACATGTTAACTGACTACTTATGATATTGCCAAGGCTTCCAGTCAACACCAGGCTATATTTGTAAAGTCTGTGGGGAGTCAAAAGTTACATGCAGGCCGGGCGCAGTGGCTCATGCCTGTGAGCCCAGCACTTTGAGAGGCCGAGGCAGGTGGATCACCTAAGGTCAGGAGTTTGAGACCAGCCTGGCCAACATGGTGAAACCCCATCTCTACTAAAAATACAAAAATTAGCCAGATGAGGTGGCAGGCACCTGTTATCCCAGCTACTTGGGAGGCTGAGGCTGGAGAATCTCTTGAACCCACCAGGCGGAGGTTGCAGTGAGCCGAGATCGTACCACTGCACTCCATCCTGGGGACAGAGTGAGACTCCATCTCAAAAAAAAAAGTTCTTTGTGAATTTCTGACTGCACGGGGGGTCATAAACCCTAACCACCAGTGTTCAAGCGTCAACTGTATTCCTTCCTATAATGAAGTTACTAATATTTCTGCTCATTATAAAAATCCTGAAACCATCAATTACTGATTCTACTGTACTGAATGGCATTAACACACCTCTCAGCATGATTCCTTGACTATAAAATGAGTGTTTCTTCCAATGCGAATCTTCTGTATGCTCTGGGGTTAAGACCATACTGAGCTTCTCCGGTTTTTGCTCTTTTGTGTGTTTGTGCCTGGCTTCTGTTTGGGTTTTTGTTTTCTCATCACGATCCTTGCTTCGCGCTCTCCTAGCCACTGTGCACTTTCTGCACCCTCCGTCAGGCTGCTTGGTTTTGCACACCTCAGGTCTGCAGTAGCTGTATGTAAACGCAGAGTGTCCAAGGGCCTGTGAGGCTCCCATAGGGAATTAAGGGGACTGACCTTGAGACAGATCCTGAGGCTGCCGGGATGCCTTTCCAGCTTATCACTCCCCCAAAAAGAATCAAAGTCTCAAAGGAAGAAGTCTGACAGCCAGATGTGTTAACACCTGCTTACCTCTCCTGATCACAAGGGGGAAAAAGGAGGCCCAAAAGACTGACAGTTATGAGAATCATAAACATTTCCAAAATTCAGGGGGCTTGTCCTTTCAAACTGAAGATGCAATGTTGTGAAGAATCTAATTTGGCCCACTTTCTGGTTCCCCAACATATTACACCTGCTAGTGACTTTATTCTTTCTAGATGAAAGGTGAATAAAGGTAAATCATCACCATGCACCTGATTTTCACATTGTCTGCCTTGTGTATGACATGAAATTTAAAGGGTGAATTTAGAATGATCCTGGCTCCCTGTAATAAATAATCTGACACCTAGAAATAATATAAAAATGATAAACTTGTAAACCCAACAAAAGGACAGTGAGTAACAGTACACAAGTCAGTGATGAAGATGGTGATAAGGGCTGGATGATAAACTTCCGGTAAGTGAGATCTGGAAGGTTCTTTCTTTAATAAATCCTTGTTTTTTTCCAAATGATAAGAACTCTCAGCTCAATTTTTGAAATTTTAGCAATGGTGATTACAGTAACTCCGTTTGGAGTGTGTAAATCAGCCTTAAAATTAACACCTGGCAAGAGATGACCAAGAGTGGTTCCTGCTGTTCCTTTGTGAGTTACCTGCTTTGCAGAGGCTCTGCCCACATAAATCACAAACACTGCCCCAGGCTGAACCACGCTGTACCATTTCCCATCTTCATCAGTATTTGGCCTCTTCTAAAAATGTGCATTCTATTGGTCTGTGTAGGCTACTTTTTTTTTCATTAGCCCCAAAGGTACATTAACTCCGGCACCTAAGAAAAGTCATGCAGAGATGGAATCCTTAAGGTGAACACAACACTAGTCGTCTGAGAATGTATTTTTGTTTTTTTTGAGACGGAGTCTGGCTCTTTCGCCCAGGCCGGAGTGCAGTGGCGCGATCTCGGCTCACTGCAAGCTCCGCCTCCCGGGTTCACGCCATTCGCCTGCCTCAGCCTCCCGAGTAGCTGGGACTATAGGTGTCCACCACCGCGCCCGGCTAATTTTTTGTATTTTTAGTACAGATGGTGTTTCATTGTGTTAGCCAGGATGGTCTCGATCTTCTGACCTCGTGATCCGCCCACCTCGGCCTCCCAAAGTGCTGGGATTACAGGCGTGAGCCGCCGCACCCGGCCGAGAATGTATTTTTAAAGCACAAAGATGACGCTGGGAGATACCAATTTACCCGTTCAATCGGTTTCCAAAACCCAAACCCAACAAAACAACACCACGCCAAATCTAAATTACAACACTTTATTGCAGCATCGGCAAAGGTCAGATTTCTGAAGCTGGTGAAGATTGGGCAGCATTTCCATGTGAAATGTTACAACTTTACAAGTTTTGTTTTTTATTTAAATCTACATGCAGAAACTGAAACATGGTAAAAGAAAAAATGCAAAATAGCTAGAAAAAAAGATGTAATCAAGTTGTCGCATACAGATGTGCTCTCCGACTAAATATACTACGCCTGCTGGAAAGCAAACCAAAGACAGCTGTCCTAAGAAATTAACAGATTGTCAGAAACAGACTAAGGACCCTCATTTCTATTTAGTGGGGGAAAACAAAAAAAAAAACAAAACAAAAACAAAAGCAAAATAAAAGCTCTACTTGTTTCCATACTTTGTTTAGAGACAGAGGCTGTAAACCCATGAAGGTCAACAAAATATTCTCATCCACTTCTTGTTGTCCTTCGTTCGTTTTCTGTGACATGTTGACGGGCATGTTTTGTTTTCAATGATACTTACAATGGGCTCACCTAGATCCCTGTTCTTGGGCTGGTATCACTTTTCTAAGCCATCTGAATTAATGCTCTCTGTATAGTAAAATAGTCTCCACATTTTTCTTTTACCTTAATAGGCAATTTTATAGCACTGACTCTGATGGATAAAACGGATTTTTCTCCCTCATCCCTTGTTCCTCTTGAAACAAATTCCTAAACAAAAGCCTTCCTGGTGGATTATCTGGTATTTGGATATCTTTCATCATTTTGTTGTCCTGCATGTAAGTTTTACTAGAAGATTTTCCTGCTTGCTCTATACTTTTCTACTGTAGTCCTGGAGCCCCCAAATGTATCTTCTTCCAACGTGGGATGTTCAATTCAGAGACACTGAAACTCAAATCAAGTTTAAAGCTCAAGTTCATTTCCCCCACACCATTACCATCACAACCCGTTTCTTCTCTGGCTCAATCATCTCCTTCACGCTCTCCTTGGTGTAACTGCTCAGTAGTCAAGTGAACCATCTCATTTCTTGACTGCCATTCTCAAGAGAAGATTAACCCTCGCGAGATTTCCATTACAAAAGGCCTTTTCCGCCTTGTCTGGAAGCGTCGGCTTGTTCCGGTGTTGGCAGAGGCTGGTGTTTCTGCCTCCTGGCCCCAGCCTGTCCCAGGTTTAGATTCGCAACTCTCTAGACCGACCTGCTGAGATGTGTCCACTGCTCTCATTCAATTGCTGGAGGACTCCACTAACCACAACATCAGATACAGGACCTAATGAAATGACACGTGCTGCTGGATCAACGTCTCCTAAAGGAACAAACAGGGTCACATCAGAGAGCTTACTGCCACAGGACAAAGTCCAGCAAGATGGCGTCTGCAACGCTACCCACCACCACCAAGTCACTCCCCCAAGTTACAGGTGGCCCTGGCATCTGCGGGTTCCACATCCATGGACCAAAAATATTCGGGGGAAAAAAACCCAAACAATAAAAAATAACATAAATATTAAAAACAATACAGTATATCAACTATCTCCATAGCATCTACACTTTATTAGGTATTACAAGTAATGTAGAGATGATGTAAAGTACACGGGAGGATGTGCATATGTTATACATAAATGCTACACCATTTTTTACCAGGGACTTGAATGTCTGTGCATTTTGGTGTCTGAGGGGATCCAGGAAGCAACCCCCTGTGGATACCGAGGACAACTGTAGTGCTTTTTTGAGAGCATTCATGCTCTCTACTGAGCTACAACTTAACCAGAGCCATTGGAGCAATGGCTGGAGGAGTGGCTCTGTTCTCTTCTACAACTTATTCTTAAGGTGCTAAGAATTCACAGTTTGTGTTATGGTTCAGTTGTGTATCCCCAAAATTCACATGTTAACACTGAACTGCAGGACCTCAGAATGTGACCGTATTTGGAAACAAGGTTGCTGTAGACGTAATTACTTCAGATAAGGCCATACTGGAGCAGGGTGGAGCCCTAATCCCATATGACTGCATCTCTATAAAAAGGGAAATTTGCACACAGACACACACAGGGGGAAAAGGCCACGTGAAGACAAAGGCGGAGACCAGGGTGAGGTATGACAAGGTATGGAAGCCAAAGACTGCCGGCACCCCCAGCAGTAGAAGGCAGGCCTGGAGCAGTCTTCCTCCAGGCCTCAGAAGGAACCAGCCCCGCTGACTCCCTGACCTCAGGTTTCCTGCCGGCGGCCTCCAGTGCTGCGAGACAACAGACATCTGTCGTTTAAGCTACTAGGGCTGTAATATTTTGTCATGGCAGCCCAAGCAGATGAACAGTTTGTTTCTTACAGAGCAAGCTACCTTAGCAAGAAACTTTCAAAGCGTTAAGATGCAAATATGGAAAAGTATATCCTCAGCTGGATAAGATCCGTAACTCTTCCAGAAATGAACTGATGGAAAGAACACAAGTATTCCCTGAGGGAATGAAAGAGAAGATTCAAGCATCTCTCCTGAAGTCAAGAAAAGGCAGCTATCTAACCTAGAATACTTTAAATAAATGCAGTAAATGACAGGAAAAAAATGTTCAAAATCTTTGCTAAGTAAGGTATAGTTATATCACTAGTTATAGTGTAAGGTGTCATTTGACTGGTTTATAAGCAAACAATCATTCTGAGTGACTCAAAAATCTATCAGCTCAAAAACTGTTTATTAATACAATATACACTTTGGATTAAATGCAATTCTACAATGGACTCTATTGTATAACAAAACTATCACTAATTTAACCTTACATAAAGATATATAAAAAAAAAATCTGATGAAAAAATGCAGACTCTACTTAAGATAGGTTTACAAGAGTTCAATATCAGCCTGGGCAACATAGTGAGACCTCGACTCCACTAAAAATAAAAAAAATTAGCCATTTGTAGTGGTGTGTGCCTATAGTCCCAGATACTGAGAGGCTGAGGCAGGACTGCTTGAGCCCAGGAGGTCGAGGCTGCGGTGACCTGTGATCACGCCACTGTACTCCAGCCTGGGTGACAGAGCAAGAACCTGTCTCAAAAACAAAATAAAACAACAACAAAATCATTTTTAAAAAGATGGGTTTAAAAGTCAGATAGTATACTCCTATGCCGCTAAGTGTAGGCCACACACCAGCAGTTTTGACATCACTGGAGATCTTGTTTAAAAGTAACCAGAGCTTGTTGTGCTCACTTCAGCAGCACATATACTAAAAATTGTAGTGATACAGAGAAGACTAGCATGGCCCTGTGCAAGGATGACATGCAGGTGGGGTGCAGTGGCTCACGCCTGTACCCTCAGCACTTTGGGAGGCTAACGCAGGCAGATCACTTGAGGTCAGGAGTTTTGGAGACCAGCCTGGCCAACATGGTGAGACCTCATCTCTACTAAAAATACAAAAATTTGGCTGGGCGCGGTGGCTCATGCCTGTAATCCCAGCACTTTGGGAGGCCGAGGAGGGTGGATCATGAGGTCAGGAGTTCAAGACCAGCCTGGCCAAGATGGTGAAACCCCGTCTCTACTAGAAATACAAAAATTAGCCAGGTGTGGTGGCAGGTGCCTGTAATCCCAGCTACTCGGGAGGCTGAGGCAGAGAATTGCTTGAACCCGGGAGGCGGAGGTTGCAGTGAGCAGAGATCACGCCACTGCACTCCGATATAGCGAGACCCCATCTCAAAAAAAAAAAAAAAAAAATTAGCTGGGCGTGGTGGCACATGCCTGTAATCACAGCTACTTGGGAGGCTGAGGCACAAGAATTGCTTGAACTCGGGAGGCAGAGGTTGCAGTGAGCCGAGATCCCGGCACTGCACTCCAGCCTGGGCAACAGAACAAGACTCCATCTCAAAAAACAACAAAAAAGAATGACACACAAATTCGTGAAGCTTTCCACAATAATTAAAAAATAATAATAAAAGAAACTAATCAGAACTTGCTTTTTAGTAAGAGTCTAGAGAGTTAATACGTATTTTAAAGTTTGAGAAGCATTGAAATAACCCATATGAATTAGTACCATCTAAGCCATGTAAGTATTAACACTTGCCAAAAATGTTAAGTTTCACAGATTTTCAATACTAGTGTATTAGAAAAACAACCTTGTTCTGCAATACAGAAAACCCTACATAATAGTTTTACTTACAGCACTGCTGCCGTTTCAACTCATTGTAAGCAAATGCCTCTTATTTGTTAAAGGGCTGAAATTTTAATTTATGTCCTTATTTCAAGGATCTCCTGGTTAGAAAATATACAAATACAAATTAAAATCTGGGAGTCCATCAAAAGCTACAGGAGAAAAATAGTTTATGCCGGGCGTGGTGGCTGACACCTATAATCCCAGCACTTTGGGAGGTCCAGGCAGGCAGATCACCTGAGGTCAGGAGTTCAAGACCAGCCTGGCCAACATGGCGAAACCATGTCTCTATTAAAAATACAAAAATTAGTCAAGAGTGGTGGACTGCATACCTGTAATCCCAGCCACTCGGGAGGCTAACAGAAGAATCACTTGAACCCAGGAGGTGGAGGGTGCACTGAACTGAGATTGTGTCACTGCACTCCAGCCTGGGTAACAGAGCAACATGTCGTCTCAAAAAAAAAAATCTTTTTTTTAAACTACTTTTTTTTTTGAGACAGGGTCTGGCTCTGTCGCCCAACCTGGAGTGCAGTGGTGTGATCTGGCAGTCTCTGCCTCCTGGGCTCAAGCGATCCTTCCACCTCGACCTCCCAAAGTGCTGAGATTACAGGCGTGAGCCACTGCTCCTAGACCTAAACTACTTTATAATCAGTTTCCAAATAAATTTCCCTTTATCTGCTGTATAACATTACTAATATTAATAACTGATTTTTTTTAATAGAGTTTCGCTCTTGTTGCCCAGGCTGGAGTGCAATGGCGCAATCTTGGCTCACTGCAACCTCACCTCCCAGGTTCGAGTGATTCTCCTGCCTCAGACTCCCGAGTAGCTGGGATTATAGGTGCCCGCCACCATGACCGGCTAATTTTTCTAATTTTAGTAGAGACGGGGTTTCACCATGTTGGTCAGGCTGGTCTCGAACTCCTGACCTCAGGTGATCTGCCTTCCTCGGCCCCCCAAAGTGCTGGGATACAGGTATGAGCCATCACAACCAGCCTTAAAATGTAAATTTTAAAAAAGGCAAAGAACATCTGGTCCTCTAAAGGGTAAAATCTCATGTTTCCATGTTTGTTCATCTACCATGTTTATCGCACCTATACTTTAGGAGCATTGACTATAAAAATTCCATTCGTGATACTTTACAGAGTGCTATTCTTAAGACTGATGGACAAGTTAGGTTTTCTTTTTTTAAGGTGCTATTTTAAGAAAAGATCTTAAAACAGGTTGAGTGGCTAGCTCAAAAGCTAGGACTCTTACAAAAAAGAAAAACAGAGGGAAGAGCTAGGGAGCAGAACTGGAATGAGAACGTTTATTCAGTGACTGAACACAGACTGTGAAAAGTTCTTTTGTCCATTCACCAAATATTTACTGAGCACCTACTAGGTGCCAGGCACCAAGAGCTGTGAAGGAGACAGAATGGAAACAACATGAGACTTGGTCCCAGCCCTCATCGCCTGTAATCTCATGGGGAATAGAGACAAGCTAAGCGGCACTTAAGGAGGACAAGGTCTGCAGAAATACCATAAGTCATGGCAGCAGATCCGCACTGACCTATGTCAGACTCAGGAACACCAAGGCAGGACCCGAAGGAGCAGGAGTTCTCCAGGGGAACAGCTGGAGACTGTTCCACACAGAGGAGGCAAAAAGAACACAGAACTAAAGGTCAGCTAGGCTGCAGCAGGAGAAAGAACAGCAGGAGATGAAGCCAGTAATGTATGTCCACCTGCACCACAGGGCCTTGGGAACCAAGTTGAGGAGTTTAGACTTTTTATCCTACAAGCCACGAGGAGCCATTGGATGATTTTAAGCAGAAGGGCACACACAGATATCAAATTTGTGTTTTAGAAAGAACACTGGGTCTATAGCGGGAGAATGAATTGGAAAGGGTTGAAGGTTGAGACGGAGAGGCTGATGAGGAGGCTGAGGCAGCAACAGCAATCCAGGCAAGAGGTGATGGTGGCTTGACCCATGGTCTTGGCTATGGGCAGAGAATAGAAAAGGCAAGAGTGAGGGCCATTTGGGAGCAGAATGCAGAGGATTTGCTAATGAACTACATTTAGGGATTGAGGGAGGAGGAGCTGTCAATAACACAACTTCCTTTTCTTTTGTGGACAAGAGGGCAGACAACGCTTCCTCTCCCTGCACTGGAGACCCTGGGGAAGAGGAGTCTGGGGCAGGGGCACGAGTCTTCCATCTCTGAGTCACAGTGGGGTGGAAAGTCAGAAATGAAAATGTGAGATCTGGGCTGGAGACCTGGATGGAAGTCAGGCCACTGGGAGGGATGACACCTCCTTTGAGAGTGCAGAAGGAGAAGAGGGCCCAGGCTGAGCCCAAGGAACACAGACATCCCTAGGCAGGGAAGCGCAGAAAGGAGGCAGTGTCAGCAGCAGGAGCCACAGTGATCGCGGGAAGGGAAAACCCAGAAGCCAGCAGAATCACAGATGCCAAGGAAGGGTCTGTTGGGAGAACAAGGAGGGCCTACAATGCAAAGTGCTGCTGAGATGAGGCCAAGAGATGGCAGGTGGGGATGCCAGTGATGGCAGAAGCTGCCTAGACCTAGGGACTGAGAAGGTGACAGGAGTCAATAATGAACCTCTTTTCTAGCATAGCCACTGGGGTGGGCAATGCCTCCCACTGCCAGCTGTGACTTGGCAGGGGTAAGCCACCCAAGTGGGAGCAAGGAAGAAGGGGCAAGTGTAGCCGATTCTTCCAAGGAGGAATTGGAGGGAGGAAGGGAAAATAGAAAGTGAAGGAACTCTGCAAAGTGACTAACACCGGTAACCAGGTTAAGAAAGGCTTACCTCTGTTCACACGCACGTCGATGACAGCACACACATGCTCACGTCGATGACAGCACACACATGCTTACATATCTCCTGCCTGGTCCTTAACAGACTCTCACCCAAGGTTTTTGAAACAGACAAATGAAGAGGGTGGAATTATCTTTCAAGTACCCATACTCGGCTTCCCTACTGGACCACAACCGTGCAGGTAAAGACCCTGTCTTGTACTCCATCTTCCACAGTGCAGTCCTGGATGAGTGTACACGGAGGGAGGCAAATCCTACTGGATGCCCCTTATGTCATCCAACTCCATAGTGAGTCTACACAAATTACTAAGACACTATACTTGCGATACATGAATTGTGAGGGGGTTAGGGATTAATAAAAACGTGCTATTCAGAGACGTTAGGCTGCAATATGAACAGGTGAAGATGATGGAAAACATCAAGATATTATGCTGGTGCAAAAGTAATTGCAGTTTTTCCCATTACTTTTATTGGCAAAAACCGCATTACTTTTTACCAACCGAAATACAAATATTCTAACAGTTTTGGTCTCTGATGATGAGACAGGAGGGAATAGATGTTATCAAGAACACTGTGGCATATATTTAAAGCTACTCTAAGAAAATGCAAAAGCAGGAAATGAACATTTTTCATTGCCTGTTAACCTAGCTAGTGTCCACATTTTAGCAGCAATAAAACAGGCTTAATTAAAGGACTTTAATAAAGTTTGGATAATTAAAAATAACCTAATATCTTATTGTGCCTAATTAGATGGGTTTACAGGTCATTTCCAACTTGGATTTTTTTTTTAAATTATACTCAACAGATGCTAAAGAACAGATCTCTAAACTGTCTTGACAAGCCAGTTTTCTACATTACAATTTGATTAGAGTTATCTGAGCAAATAGTTCAAAGATGCCACCAGAACACATGAATATGTTCAGTGATGTCCAGTGAGTAACAGACACAGGCTCTGATGACTACATTTTCCCCCATGCTACCCTCCTGAATCATGATCTAATTCTGCCAGCCCCAGCACACTCCCCATCTACACCTGCTCCCCTGCTCCCAACAACAAAGTGACATCTTGGGCTGTTGTAGAGCCTCGGTTTAAACACTAATCCACTAAGTGAGATCAGTAAGGGCAGCAGAAGCCACTGTCCCTTTAACTTAACCGCAAGACAAAATTAATTGAGGTGGGTGGACCACCTGAGGTTAGGAGTTCGAGACCAGCCTGGCCAACATGGTGAAACCCCATCTCTACTAAAAACACAAAAATTATCCAGGCGTGCTGGGTGGGCACCTGTAATACCAACTACTTGGGAGGCTGAGGCAGGAGCATCACTTGAACCCGGGAGGTAGAGGTTGCAGAGAGCCAAGATCACGCTGCTGCACTCCAGCCTGGGTGACAGAGTGAGATTCGGTCTCAAAAAAAAGAACAAAATTAGTTGATGATATGGGTCTTTAGATCATGTCCCAGAAACACTTTAAATTACTTACCCTTAAAAAACATAAAAGAGGCCGGGCGCAGTGGCTCACGCCTGTAATCCCAACACTTTGGGAGGCCGAGGCGGGCGGATCACGAGGTCAGGAGATCGAGACCATCCTGGCTAACACGGTGAAACCCCGTCTCTACTAAAAATACTAAAAATTAGCCGGGCCTGGTGGCGGGCGCCTGTGGTCCCAGCTACTCGGGAGGCTGAGGCAGGAGAATGGCGTGAACCCGGGAGGCAGAGCTTGCAGTGAGCAGAGATGGCGCCACTGCATTCCAGCCTGGGCGACAGAGCCAGACTCCGCCTCAGAAAAAAAAAAAACTAAAAACCATAAAAGAGGTCTTATTAGGGAACATCTTCATTTTCAAATTCTTTATAGAGTTTTAAATTATCTCACATTAAACAATTTAACTTTAAGTGGAACTGGTAGGAATTCCATCAGGAAATTTTATAATTTAAAAAAACAGGCCGGGCATGGTGGCTCACGCCTGTAATCCCAGCACTTTGGGAGGCCAAGGCGGGCAATCACCTGAGGTGAGGAGTTCGAGACCAGCCTGGCCAACATGGTGAAACCCTGTCTCTACTAAAAATACAAAAATTAGCCAGATGCGGTGGCATGCCCTATTGTCCCAGCTACTCGGGAGGTTGAGGCTGGAGAATCGCTTGAACCAGGAGACAGAGGTTGCAGTGAGCCGAGATCACGCCACTGCACTCCAGCCTGGGCGACAGAGCAAGACTGTGTCTCAAAAAATAAATAAGTAAGAGCTTAGGAACAAACTCTACTTGCATGGTTAAAAGTCTAGAAAATAGATTTTTAGTTTTTGTAAACATCGATATTAATTAACCCTGACCTGAGAAATTCTAACACAAAGCCTATGATGTCTCTCTCTTGCTCATCTATAACAACTCCTTCCTATTAAAGCAAAAGAAGAAAAAAGAAGTCCACTCAGACAGGACAAAAGCCAAGATCTAGCTGAAACCAATGTCTTTGTAAGAACAGCCACGTGGGCAGATGGCTTGAGCTCAGGAGTTCGAGACTAGCCTACACAATATGGCGAGACTCTGTCTCTACAAAAGACATACAAATTAGCCAGGTATGGTGGTGCATGCCTATAGTCCCAGCTACTTGGGAGGCTGATGTGGGAGGATCACTTGAGCCCAGGAGGGTGAGGCTGTAGTGAGTGAGTTGCGATTGTGCCACTGCACTTCAGCCTGGACGACAGAGCAAGACCTTGTCTCAAAAAATAAAAATAAAAATAAAAAAAACAGAACAGCCATACTATGGTATAAAGCAGGTTTTTCCCCCTCAAATATCTACTTTTCTATTTTGCTAAAATATCAAAGACTTTTCTATTTTGCTAAAAATCGGGCCTTTGCCAAAAACTATAATCCAGAATTCCCTAATTTATTCTTATGGACATCATGGAAACAAACAGCTAAGGAAGGAGTAATGACTGCTTTACCTCCCACCAGTCTTAAAGATTAGATCTGCATTAGGTGCTCCCTTCGGATGTTGGTAGCGAGGCCGCCTCTCACGATTGGTGTTTGCTGGAGCTGGGCGCTGTGCAAGAGACTGCAACATTTCTGTAATTAGGAGCAAAAAAAGAGAATGCTGTTAACTCTTAGAAATGTACTCCTCCTACAGAGTGAACGAAATGTTGGGGAGATTAAGTTTATTAGTCCTGTCAGGGAGCTGACTAAAGAAAAATAGCCATTATACAGACTAAAATGATTAAGAAGTTTTAAAAGAGCATTATCAAGAGAGGAGACTCTTTTAATACCCAATGTTCCCTTTACTATGAATCTAGCCACCACATAGCTATATTATGAGGCAGTAGAAAAGCCTAAGAGGCAGTGCATTGCAATAGCTAAGAGCATCGTGTGTAGAGCGAGACTACTGGTTAATATCCCAGCTCTGTCACTTTCTAGCTGTGAGACTTTAGGTTCAATTTCCCTCAATGTAAAATGCAGATAACAACAACACTTATCTCAAAGAATTGTTATGAGGATTATATGCTTTGAAAAAGTACATAAAACAGTGTCTGGCCAAAGAGTAAGCACCCAGTGTTAGCTATTATCATTAAGAATGTTGGAGCCGGGTGTGGCGGCTCATGTCTGTAACCCTACCACTTTGGGATGCAGAGGCGGGAGGACTGCTCAAGCTCAGGAGTTCAAGATGAGCTTGGGCAACATAGCAAGATCCCCTCTCTACAAAAAATTAAAAATTAGCCAGGTATGGTGGCACATGTCTGTAATCTTAGCTACTTGGGGGCTGAGGCAGAGGCAGAAGGATCACTTGAGCCCAGGAGTTTGAGGCTGCAGTGATTGCGCCACTGCACTCCATCCAGCCTGGGTGACAGAGGAAGGCTCTTAAAACAAACAAAAACACTGTTGGGTATCGACTGGGAGAGAACATTCTACAAGTGAGATTAAAAGATTGGAAACCACAAATACTGATTTACACACACTCTCCTGCACAGATGGCGGTTTATTCATTCAGTACAGTGCTGTAGAAACAACTATTACGGCTGTAAAATCTGCATACCACAGGAACACCAAAACGCTAGCCTATGAAGTCTCCATGGACTCGATGTGTAAGGTTCCAACTAACTGAAAAATGCTGGGTATGTATGCATAAAATGAGAATCCTAATTTGAGTATTTCCTCAAATCTGAAGGAACACAGCTTCCTCAAGACCAGGACTCCAAGTAGACAAAAGGAGGTAAATACAGTCGTGTGCCGCGTGACCATGTTCCAGACAATGACAGACACCTATACAATGGTGGTCCCATCAGTTCATAACAGCTACACCATACAGCCTCAGTGTGTAGTAGGCTACACCATCTAGGTTTGTCAAGTACACTCTATGATGTTTGCACAATGATGAAATTGCCTAATGTCACATTTTTTAGAATGCATCCCTGTCATTAAGCAAGGCATACTGTTTGTTAAATGAATCTGCACACAACTGGCTGGCAATGTGAAGCAATTAAAAATTGATTATCACCTTGCTTGCAAACGTAGCTTAGCAGTTTATACTCTAATTTAATTAGAGCAAAATATGGTGAAAATTATATTATTGTTATTTTACAAATAAGTGAAAGAAAAACAGTGGGATACAAAATGAATTTCTCAGCATAAATATGGAAAAATATGACATGAGAAGATGAGACAAAATAACAATTTTGATGCTCAAAAGGCAACAAAAATTTCCACTTCTCTTATAGATGATTTTATACCTTGATAATCTTCTTGTTCTTGCCGTTCATTGATATCTAGTGTGAGCTTTTTCATTCTCATCCTCTCTTCTTGTTCTGCCTGTTGCTGGTTCCAGTGATTTGCAGCAAGTTGAGAGGACATGGGTACATTAAGGATCTTAAACTGGGAGAAAATAACAAAGGAGTTACAAATAGTTTGAGAACACTGAGAGAAAGAAAAAACAGACTTCAAATAAAATAGCAAGTACAGGCTGGGCACGGTGGCTCACGCCTGTAATCCCAGCACTTTGGGAGGCCGAGGCGGGCGGATCACGAGGTCAAGAGATCAAGACCATCCAGGCCAACATGATGAAACCCCGTCTTTACTAAAAACACAAAAATTAGCTGGGTGTGGTGGCATGCACTTGTAGCCCCAGCTACCCGGGAGGCTGAGGCAGGAGAACTGCTTGAACCCAGGAAGCGGAGGTTGCAGTGAGCCGAGATTGTGCCACTGCACTCCAGCCTGGGCAAAAGAGCAAGACTCCAACTCAATTAAAAAAAAAAAAGGTAGATAGATAATTTCTTAATCATCATGAACTGGAAGTTGCAACTCTAAGATGTTTTTATCTAAACACTCAGAAATAAAACAGGGTGGCCATTTTTCCCCCTTTTTAGGTTCCTGATGATAAAATTTGAAATTTCCTTCATAATCTACTAATAAGCCTAATGATGATGGTACTAATCACAATAATAAAATAGTATAAAACATTATAAAGAAAATTTCGTAATGTGATCAAAAAAGGTGAGAAATATAGGCTTTCTTATTCACGTATAAGATTAACAATTTCTTCGTTTAGATCTTCTAAAGGGAAACAATTATAAATAAAAGATGAACAAAAACACATTTTATGAACTCTGAGACAAGTTTTACAAAAGGCAAAGTTCTCAAGTATTATGTACTTAAAAAAAACATAAAAGAGACAGTAATAAATACGGGGAAATGAAGAGACAAATTTACTGATGGCCACCTTTGCCTACTGCCTTTACTGCAGAGCTGCTAAGATACTATTAACAGAGACACACTACTTTATAGCAAATTAGATGATAAAAATATTGAAGTCACTCAAACTAAATTTCCTGAACATAATAGCAATGAAGGTGATTTAGCTGATATTTTGCAGCTACTCCATGACTGTAGCTAAAATTAAAAAACATACAATCCCAAGTTACTATGACATGTAACTATCAATTATTCTAGTCAAAATACAACAAATAACTCCTTATATAAATATTAATTGCAAAAATGGTTTGTCTGCCAGTATTAAACTATACTATGTTATGCATTTGTTTGAATAAAAAAGCTTTTTAAAGCATTTTATAACATTTATATTACATTAAAACTTGTTTTAATTGACATTTATTATTCTAATTCAGAAATATTTAAATCTAGAAAAAAATAAATGGCTAAAAGCATTATCTTTTTCTTTCTCTGCAACTACTCACTTCATTGGTGCAATGTTTTTTCCCCTAATGACCACAACAGAAAGTTATTTCTGAGTACAAATTTGATGCACAAAGAGGTCTTTCACTTAAAATCCAAAGATTCCTATAAGGCAAGACATTTCACATTTGTAGAAAAACCGTTGCACCAGAAGGGCCAACACCCAAAAGCCAAATAAAGGAATAAAAATCAGAACAAAATCTACTTTCTTTTTCAGACCACAACATACCAGCGATGTTTCTTCAAATAATGTTCCAAAAAACTGAATATTTTCCAAAATTCCAAATAAAGTTTAGAAGCACTGAAAATTTACTTAATAACCAAGTACTCTGAGTTTTCATTTCATGTCTGCTAATATTTTTAAAATTTAGTAATAATATATCCTTAAAAATTAAAATTTAAACTAAATGCTACATTTTAAGAAACAAGGACTTCAAATTCATTTACATAAAATTACATAAGCCACCCGGTTTATAATCTACCTACTTTGAACCAAAAATATTCCTTCTAAAATACACATAATCTTATTTTGACCCATACAATTTAGAATTTCAGACTGCTGGAGTATACTTATTTTCCAAAGCCCACAAGTTTCTTTTAAGTAGGCATTGATTAATTTATTTTCAATTCCTACACGTTCTATAAGGGCCAGATGGGGTGTAGAGTTGACAAAGGTGTTAATGAATATTCATGTACTTCATGAAAGGGAGGAAGGAAAAAAACTCATTATTTACTGTTGTACAATCTGACCTTCAAAAAGAGATATTCCTAAACTCTCTTTTAGTTAACAAAAATCATGGCCTTCCTGTGCCAATGTAACAGCATTATCTAGCAGCTGTGCAGGAATGGAGACCAAGGTATATCTAGCTGAAGCTGCCATGTACTGCCCTCCACAATTCAACAGACAGATATGTGCATGTGTGCATGCCTTCCAACTTTACAGCCTAATTACCTTTAGAAACTGTGTGCCAAGAAAGCCGGTGATGGGGGGAATGGAGGAGGAAGCTAAGAGTTTTTAAAGAGAAAGAGAATGAAGGAGATCTAAAACGTGATAACTGAAATAGTAAAGTCTGGTTCAGAGAATTAAATAGTCCCTAGAAAAGCAAAAATGCTGGGATTTGTGAATCCTCGTAACAGTGGTGAATTAGCATTTCCAGGTGCTCTGAGGACAGCAGTCTTAGCAAAGATCTCAGGACAATGCCAAATTTAGGGCCTGATTTTTTAAAAAGCTCTCATTTTCCTCACAGATAGAGAATGGAGAGTAAAGGAATGGGGATGTGCCAGAGCCCAACCCTGGTCGAAGGAGGGGAGGGGTGTGGCTCTCCTGAAAGCACCAGGAGGCCTGGCTGGAGCCTGGACTGGAGGCAAGGCCGGACGATGGCAGTGTCTGAGGAAGATTCAGCAATGCTCTGATCCTGTCAAAGTTAACTCTCAATACATGAGTCATGCCGTGAAGTCTTTGCCAGCTCCACACTCCATGATTATTTTATTTATTTATTTCTTTTTTTGAGACGGAGTCTCGTTCTGTCGCCCAGGCTGGAGTACAATGGTGTGATCTTGGCTCACTACAACCTCCACCTCCTGGGTTCAAGTGATTCTCCTGCCTCAGCCTCCTGAGTAGCTGGGATTACAGGCACACGCCACCAAGCCTGGCTAATTTTTGTATTTTTAGTAGAGACGGGGTTTCACTATGTTGGTCAGGCTGGTCTTGAATCCCTGACCTTGTGATCCGCCCGCCTTGGCCTCCCAAAGTGCTGGGATTACAGGTGTGAGCCACTATGCCCGGCCACACACCACAATTCTAATTGGTATATAGGTGGTATCACTGCAGCAACAAGTAGTATACTGCTCAAGTATATCACTTTCATGCTGTACAAGTATATCACTTGTATACTGCACAAGTATAGTGCACAATTTTGATCTCGGTGTACATGAGAAGTTGCCTGACAAATGCAGGGATAAAATTTAGGCATCATCTGTTTGAGGCTGTGCTAGTGGGGAGGACATCTCAGATGCAACTTATTGTAGGGTCTTCCCTGATCATCCTACCTAAGAGGCAGCCTCCCTCTCCTGGCATCTCACCATCCGTGTCTCTTTCTATCCTCTTACCCTGCTTTATCCTCCTTGGTAGCCATCCCAACGTGACTTGGTGTATTTCTCATATGCCTCCCAACACCAGAATGAAAGCTCGCAAGAGAGGAAGGACTCTGGCTAACTGCCTCTATATTCTGCACACAGAAGTGCCTGGTGTGTAGCAGGTAAATAATAAATACTTGTTAAATGACTGTGTAGACGAATGTGGTATTGGACTTGTCTAAGATAACTGTGGCAGCTACCATATGCAACAAAATCTAACATTCTATTAATTCTAAGATACACCATTATTTTACTTATCACTAAAGCAGAAAGAAATGCTGTCAGTTAACACAGGATTTCATGGACTCTAAGAAGCAACTTGATCTCAGAAATGTTAAGATGTAAACAAATTTTTACAGAATTGACCTAAATACACCTAAAGGTGTATCTGAAAGCTGGCCTATATTCTCTTCATACCATGTTTCACTATCTGCAAATATGTGCGTTTGTCTCTCTGCTCTCTCAGTAGGAGATAAGTTCCACAAGGGCAGGAACATTGTTCTGTTTATCACTGTAGCCTCAGGACCTGAAATAGAATAGTACCTGGCACGTAGTGATGCTCAATAGTTGACAAATCAACTATGGATCGCTAGAGTAACAGCTTGGTAGAGGGGGAAACGGTTTTGAGGGACCATCTTGTATGAAGGGGGAAAGGGCAAACAAGAAGAATGGAGAGGGATATGGAGAAGGGTTGGTGTGATTTTCAACTGACGGCAGCCGAGCCTCTTCCTGAGCTGCATCGGTTGCCATCCTCCTTTCCTTCCCCGCCTGGGGCTTGCTTGTGGAAGTTTGTGCTAGAAGTCAAGGTACTTACATATTCTTACAAACATGTATGATTTAAAACACATAAGGGGCCAAGTGCAGTTGCTCACGCCTATAATCCAAGCACTTTGGGAGGCCGAGATGGGCAGATCACCTGAGGTCAGGAGTTCCAGACCAGCCTGGCCAACATGGTGAAACCTTGTCTCTACTAAAAATACAAAAATTAGCCGGGCGTCATGGTGGACGCCTGTAATCCCAGCTACTCAGGAGGCTGAGGCAGAAGAATCGTTTGAACCTGGGAGGAGGAGGTTGCAGTGAGCCAAGACCCTGCCACTCCAGCCTGGGCGACAAAGTGAGACGCCGTCTCAAAAAAAACAAAAACAAAAACAAAAACAAAAACAAAAAAAACTATATAAGGGAAGAAATTATTCTACCACTGAATGGTTTAAAACTGTCCAACCCTTATCCCCTTGTAGGTCAAAGATAAGTTAAAACCTAACTGTATAACTCACAATCAGCTATAATTACAGGGCGGGCAGTTTCTTACCTGCTGTTTATTGCCTTTTCTTGTTAACATGACAAACGGCATTGTGTCTGCAGACTCAGCCTCTCCTTCCCCACCTCCCAGTGGGGGCCCTTTCCTCAGCTGGCTTTTGAGATGCAAAGGAATGGCAACATCTAGTTGGTGCACTTTAACAGATTCACCACTTCGTTGCTAAAAGAAATTAAAAAGGACATAATAAACACTCCAAGATATATACGGATATATGTCAATATAAATTGCAAACTCATTCAATGCTGTATTTCTTAAAACACAACAATCATAAGAGCCATAACAGTCAACAATTACAACCACCATAATACTCTTTCTGAAACGTGGATAAATCTAGGGAGTATTTCTCCCTCCACCTAACACCTCTGCCTATGACATGGAAGGAAATGCAGGACTTGGCTGCTGTTGACTGCTCCAGCCTCTCCCAAGCACGCAGTGCTGCGGGTTCTACCAAATCCCCCTGCTCCTCAAATACACTACACCCTTCTATTCATCCTCCTAGATCACATCTTCCTTCATAATCACCAGGCAAGGTGGGCTCATCACTGCATCCCTTTCTCCAGGGCTCCCCAGCAGGGCGTTACCCACAGCAGGAGTTCAGGGAGTACTGAAGAATGAATGGAATCTATGACCATTTGTATTAATTCCTTGGTTGGTAATATCAATTATTTTTAGCATTTACACTGAATTTTCCAACCAATTAATTAAATGAACCTTCACCGAAGACTTGCCATGTGTTACAGGCTTGGAGATAGTAATGTTAAAAATACTTAGCCTCTACACTCAAAGAGCTCATAAGCTTGTTAAGACAGATACAGAAACAATGATGATGATACATCATAGGTGTACAGCACCTGTGGAGGAGATGAAGTGACTACCTGTACCTGGCTGAGAGTGGTTGCGTGCCCTTCACGAAAGGCTGAATAGAAATGGCACATTTGAGAATGTTAAAGACTTCATAAACTTCTTCTAAGCAGATGGTAAAAGAGCAGTTTGGGGAATGCGGAGGGAATCGAGGCAGGGGAAGAACAGGTGCAAAGCAAGGACATGGACCAGCATGGTACACTTAGGGAACTGCAAACACATGACTGATGAATGAGCAGCAAAGAGGGACGAGCTGAATGTTCCAGGAAGGTAGGCAGGTCATGCTGAAAGGCCCTCAATGTCTTAGAAACTGCTCTACCACCATTTAAATAGTCTTCTGATATAGGCTCCATATATTCAAGAGACTTGCAAATCAAGCAAAATCCTGTTTTATTGTTTCTTTTTTAAGCTCTAGTTTATCATAATCTGCTTGAAGTCTTCCCAGGTTCGTAAGATTTATAAAGACTTTTTACTTAAAATTCAAAAGGATCACAATAGACAAATCTTGATTTTTCTCCTTGATTATAAAATTAACATATTCTTTTCATAAAATATTTAAATACAAAAATGTGTTGGTAAGTATGTCCATACTAACTCCTCCAGCGACTTCCCACTGCCCCAACCCCAAGATGCAACAACTATTAACAATGGAGTATGTTCTTTCGGATTTTTTCAACTATTAACAATGCAGTATGTTCTTTTGGATTTTTTCTTGCATATACTAATAATATATACATATAGACACAAGCAACCACAATGCATATTGCTGTACACTCAACATACATATTTTTTCTTCTGTTTAATCCTATATCTTGGTTATCTTTCTCTTTGAGTATATACAGAGCTAATTACATTGATATGCCCTTATTATTTAATTATTGACAGACAATTTTTTTTTTAAATGATCCTTCCCACACATGGAAGGACTTTTCTATCACAATGTGACATCTTTGTATATTTAGCTTTATAAAGAGAATTACTTACTAGGGGTAAATTTTTAGATCAACTGGCAAGCCCATTCGACAGGTTTACTGAATTTCCCTCTAAAAAAGCTGGACTGATAGACATTTACAAACCAAACCATTACTCAAACAAAACCACACTGGATATTATCACTTAGTAAATCCCAATATCTGATGGTCTGATAAGTGAAAAGGCTCATCTTAATTTGCATACTATTTTATTACTCATGACCTTTGGCATGATTTTGCCATTACCTTTCACACAATAAAAAAAAAAACTAGATCATTCATCATTTCTCATTGATTTGCTATAGTAAAAGTATTAGGCCTTTGTGTAGACCATAAATATTTTCTTCCTGGCCTGTCATTTCTTCAAGTTTCTTATAGCATCCTGTGCTAGAAGGCAACACAGTAAAACAGTTGAGAACAAACTCCACCACGTCCTAGCCATGTGGTCTTAAGCAAGTTTTTTTTTTGTTTTTTTTTTTTTTTTTTTTTTTTTTTTTGGAGACGGAGTCTCACTCTGTCCCCCCCATGCAGAGAGACTGTGCAGTGGCACAGTCTCAGCTCACTGAAACCTCTGCCTCCTGGGTTCAAGCGATTATCCTGTCTCAGCCTCCCAAGTAGCTGGGACTACAGGCACCCACCACCACAACCAGCTAATTTTTTGTATTTACTGGAGACGGGGTTTCACCGTGTTAGCTAGGAGGGTCTCGATCTCCTGACCTCGTGATCCTCCCACCTCGGCCTCCCAAAGTGATGGGATTACAGGCATTGAGCCACTGTGCCTGGCCAGCAAGTTTCTTGTCTTTCCAAGCCTCTGTTTCTTTAGCTAAAGCAAAGGAATACTAACAGTATCTGACAGCACTATGCAAAGAATAGATGTAAAGCACTTGATGCAGGGCCCAACAGTCTTCATAATTATTGGAGTGTTTGATAGATTTGCAATTAATTCTGCTGTGGAAATAAAACAGAACGTCAACTTTATTTTTGTTTATTGTCTGTTTTCCCTTAACTGATTTGCAACGTTATCTTCATCATATTACTAAACGGTCATGTTTTGGGTCTATTTTGGATTCTTCTCCATTTCATTAATCTGTTCCTGTATCAAACTATTATTGTCAGTTTAAAATGTTTTATCTTTTTTTTTTTTTAAGACGAAGTCTCGCTCTTGTCTCCCCCGGCTGGAGTGCAATGGCGTGATCTCGGCTCACTGCAACCTCCACCTCCCAGGTTCAAGTGATTCTCCTGACTCAGCCTCCTGAGTAGCTGGGATTACAGGCGCCTGCCACCATGCCTGGCTAATTTTTTTGTATTTTTAGTAGAGACAGGGTTTCACCATGTTGGCCAGGCTGGTCTTGAACTCCTGACCTCAGGTGATCCACCCGCCTCGGCCTCCCAAAGTGCTGGGATTACAGGTGTGAGCCACAGTGCCCAGCCATGTTTTCATATCTTGTAGAGCATTTCACTCATTTCCTGAAAATCTGTTAGCTATTTTGCTTATTCTTACAGATGTTTTAAGAAATAATTTTAAATTCATTCTGCATTGATCTCCCTGCTCTTCTCTTTCCCTTGGAAAAACAAAACAAAACATCTTCCTGGTGTGATATAATTAGGATTATACTAAGTTTAAGGGCTTGATTTATGGAAAAATAATATCTCTAGGATACTGCATCCTCCTATGACATTCTCATCAAAACAAAGAGACTCTGTACAGTTGTTCAGTATTTTGATAATGCTGAAAAACTAGGGCCTAATATAGAATTAAGTTTTTCTCCAGCACAAAAAGCACATCTCCTGCAAAAATGTGAATTCGAACTTCCCTCCTCGATTACATCTTCCCATCCTTCCAGCTTGCTTCTTCAAGAACTGTCAATAAGCAAAAATTATTGGACCATATCAAAAACTTCTATTCCTTTGACTTCATCAGCTTTTCTACCTTATTTCTAAATGTTAAGGTTCTTCAGGGCTCAATCCTGACCCTGCTTCTCTTCTCTGTCCACACTTTACACCGGGGATGAATCATTTGTTCCGATGCTTTCAATATACTCTACCCATCACATTTCTGTTTTCACTCCACGTAACCTTCTGATCTCCATACATTTCCACTTGGACACCTCAAAGGCTTCTCAAGTGGACACGGCCAAAGGGAAACTTTTGCTCATTGGTCCCTTGTTTCCTGTCCCAGAGATTAGCCAGTGGCCCAATCTGGAAAACCAACTATCATCTTTGATGCCTCACCCCCTACACACCCATATCCAATCCAGCGCCAAATAAGCCAGGTCGTTCTACCTCCGAAATAGCTCAAATCCAGACTTCTCTCCATGTGCCTTGCCATATGCTAGACAGCTGACTGTCATCTCTCACCTGAATCACTACAAAAGCCTTCTGTCCAGGCTCCCTGCTTTTAGCCTTGCCCTGGTGGGTACCTCTGCCCTCCCACACAGGATTGTGCCCCGCCCTCTATTAGTGCTGGCCGCCTTTTAGTTTTTTAAATACAGGTTCTTTTCTCCCTCAAGACATTTGACACATTGTTCCCATCTTCCCTTAAATTTTCACCTGGATGGATGGCTCCACTTTACTTTGCCCTGTTTGAAATTCATGACCTCAGAGACTTCTTCCCCACTATCCTATCTAGGAATGCCCTTCCCTTAATCTCTACCAAAGCATTCTGCTCTTAGCATTTATCACAATTTGAAATGATATATTTGTTTAGTTGTTAAATATCTACCTTCTGTTAGAACAGGAACCACCTCAGTTGTATTTATCACTTTATACTTAGCCCGATGCACACTGTTAAGCACACAATAGGTACCCAATAAACATATCTGCTAAAGAAATGAGTGGCTGAGTAAATGGCTACTGATTTATATAAGATGGGAAGTTTCTCAGAGAAGTAAACTATTCTCTCCTCCAAGGGATTATAATGATTATGTTTTATTTGATTGCTTGCGCTCCTAAATAACATAAATGTAAGATTTATTTCATAAATTAGGAGCTTTCTGGATATATGAAGACATGTTATTTTAATATATAAAGAAAGAAGATCACCTAAGACACCTATAACACTAATTTGTACTTGATCATACCTTTGGCTGTAGCAGCATCAAGGAAAGTAAAATCCAATATTTCAACTCTAAAGGACTGCTCCATGAGCATATAAAGATTCCATAATATCTTCTACCTTTAAAAAAAAAAACCCTGTCTTTTAACTCTACGACCTTCTCTAGCTACCTCCCCGTTTCTCTTCCCTTTCTGGCAAAACTCCTCAAGACTTATCTATATGTAGTATCTTCACTCCCTCCCTTCCCATTCTCCACCAAACCCACCCCAGTGGGGCCTGCATCCTGCCATTCGAACAAACCCACTCGTCACGTCACCAAAGGGTTAACAACAAGTACATATAGGGCTGAAGTAAGCAGTCTAAGATTTTGTCTCTAACTCTAGAAAAATATAGTTACTTGAAATTACTGTGGCATTCAAAAAACTGCTAAGTAGTGTTTTTTAGAAAATTCAGTTTATTAATGTTATGAATACATTAAACAACTAGCATTTCTTTAAACATTAAATAACAAACATTTTTCCATTAACATAGAAGCTATTCAACTAATAAATGGAAGAATTTACTGAATTAAATGACCCCAAATGTCTATCTTCTGCACAGTTTGGCTTCCAAACAAACTGCAAGAAAGAAGTCTTAGAAATATGACTTAATAGGCCAGGCATGGTGGCTCACGCTGTAATCCCAGCACTTTGGGAGGCCGTAGCAGGAGGATCACCTGAGGTCAGGAGGTCGAGACCAACCTGGCCAACACGGTAAAACGCTGTCTCTACTAAAATACAAAAATTAGCCCGGGGTGGTGGCACATGCCTGTAATCCCAGCTACTAGGGAGGCTGAGGCACAAGAACTGCTTGAACCCAGGAGGCAGAGGTTGCAGTGAGCTGAGATCGTGCCACTGCACTCCAGCCTGGGCAACAGAGTGAGACTCTGTCTCAAGAAAAAAAAAAGAAATATGACTTAAGAAATAAAAGGCAAAGATTGGCACAATGAAATTATTCTGTTCCAAATCTTGTGTGTGTTGCATTTTCACCGACTCTACCTCATGCAAATCAGGATGTGGGATACAAGAAGGACAAGAAGCTGGCTGCAAGCTGTCTACACATGATCTAGCAAAAGCTGCTGCAGAAGAGACACTTAGATAGGAGAGGCCTTCACATGAACCAGAATGTAATGGGCTGCAATGTTTTGTATTGAGAAGAGTCTTTGAAACAAATGACATTTAATACCTGTAGATTTTCTAGCATCATTTTATCCAGAGCTTGAATGAAGTCCTCATCTTCTACACAAGGTACATGCTTAAGTCCACCGCCTTTAATCATTACCTCCTTATTAAAACAAAACAACAAAATCAGACCAGAAATTTTAACTGTAATGTTTTCTAGGGCAAAGCCTTTTAGTATTGACAACTTGTTTAACATAACTCAAGGAGTAAAGTGAGTAAAATATCTAACATTATTCAATGTTAAAAGAATTTAAAGAAAATGGTTAGGAAAACAAATTGAAAATGAATTTCTAAAGAAATATTTTTCATAATCAAAAGAAACAAATTCAGTTTCGTGACTAAAATTCAAATACTATAAAAATGCTGCACAATTTCAAAAAGTAAATTTTTCAGCCATACGTACAGTATTCTCTTCATCGGTTTCATTTTCCTTATTGGAATCTGTAAGGTAATCTGTATTCTCTTCCTCCTCTTCTTCTCCCTCATCATCATCATTATCAGAACCCTCCTGAAATTATTGAACATTAGAAGATTAAATAACTTTTCGAAGTGTAACCATATTTTACATGCCTTAAAAAGATTTCAAAACTTCTGTATAATTGTTTATTATTCTCAAGTTTTAGCTCTTTAGGTAGTTGGTTTCCAATGGGAGGGCAAAGTCAGCTAGCAACGTTTAAGACAAATCAGTAGTTGAAAACCCATCTCACTACCTTCAACTGATCTAACAATACAGAGATCTATTGTAGAAGCTCTTTCTTGAATTCCACAATGAAGAAGTTTCCTGAGCCTTTTGTGTTCTCCTCCTCCTGAAACAAATCTGGAGAGGCTGAATGTCTCACAGTAGTTCTTTAATACCCATCTAACTGCAATGGAAACCAACAAAAGTTCAAATGTAACAGCATTACCAGCTGAAAGCAGTGATACAGCATTACCTTTTACAAAGCACTTCGATTTGGAAGGTGTTCTCATACACTTCATTTTGTTTGCTCTACCCAAGTCTGAGGATGGAAGGACAAGCTTTATTGTTCCTATTTTACACATGAAAAAACTGAGGCTCAGAAAAGTTAAGTGATCTGCCCAAGGGCACACTGCTGTTAAGCAGAAGACCTGGCCTTTCAGCTCCCCTAACTGGTGGTTTTCAAGGACTACTTCACCCCATCCTCACAGTCAGTCCCTGCCTCCCTCCACTTCGATCAGCTGAAATTTCTTGTCAAACAGAAGATGGGGCAGAGCACCGAGAGATTTTCAAAGGGCACAAAGCACAGAGTGGAGCTTCATTTACCCCTCCACCCCAGTATCCCAAGTCACCCCCGCATGGTTCCTTAAGAGTAAAAAAAACAAAAAACAAACAAAAAAAAAAAACCAAAAACCCACTAAACCCAGAGCTGCCTCTCACTGTGCCATGATGGCTGAGAAATAATTCCTGAAACAAATACTTAAATGTGTTACATTATCTTTAGTGTATGTAGCAATTAATTCCAAAACCCCAACAGTGTATACACAGCTGAAGATTCTGAGTTCTTAAAATGAAAACGTTTCAAAAACGTATACCAATGGTCGGCGCCATGGCTCACACCTGTAATCCCAACACTTTGGAAGGCTGAGGTCAGGGGATCACTTGTCAGGAGTTCAAGACCAGCCTGGCCAACATGGCGAAACCCCGTCTCTACTAAAAATACAAAAATTGGCCAGACGTGGTGGCAGGCACCTGTAATCCCAGCTACTCAGGAGTCTGAGGCAGGAGAATCACTGGAATCTGGGAGGCAGAGGTTGCAGTGAGCCAAGGTTGTACCACTGCACTCCGGCCTGGGTGACAGAGCGAGACTCCATCCCCCACCAAAAAGAAAAATGTACACCAATACATTACCTTTTCCCCCCAAATGCATTAATGTTTTCTGAATTAATTTTATAATTCAAAATTAAATTTGCAATAGAGGTACTCTTAAATTTGCTCTTGAAAAAATGAATCCTTTCTCAACACTTAAAAGACACTTCCCATTCATAAACTAAGCTAAAATACATTAACTTTTCCCCTCTCTCCATCCTTTACGTTTCATATTACTCAGGGAATGTAGCATGCATTAATTTTTCAAATTAAGATTTTGAACAAGAATTTCATTTGTCCTATCCCAGTGTACACTGATATAATAATGGGTGGAATTAAGAAGTGCTCATCAATGGACCACAAAACCTAAGCAGGCTAGGGAAAGCAAGAGGAACAGTGTCGCAAAAGGCAAACTGCCTGAGTTCAAATACCGGCTCTGCCATCACCTGCTCTATGATCTTGGGCAAATTATTCAACCTATCTGTGCCTTTGTTTCCCACCTACTGCAAGGGTAGTATGAGAAATGGTAATACAAATACAGCCCTTAGGGCAGTAACCATGAACAATAAATGCTCAGTAAATAACTATTACTGCTATTATAAGAATGAATCTTGCACTTTCTGTTGATAAATTACATAATGCTAGAGAATATTGGAGTTATCACGGAAGAACATTTAATTTAAACAGTTATCTTTAACTTATAGAGCTGACATTTAAGAGAAAATGTTCAGGTTGTTAGGTGCTCAAAGTCACCCCCACTCTTCAAAATGTCAAATAGAACTTTAAACAGCTGAAGACCAAGATAAAAATAGAACACAGCATTTGTTTTTAAGAGCTGAATTCTAACCCTTCTGTCTCAAAGTAAATAACTGTAGAATATCCATTGCTCTTATTACTTCATAATCAATGCATCTTTCTTTAATAAATTTCTCCTCCTTATGTTTGGAGGGCGGTCATAGGAAACTGGTCTTGGGGTGAAAGGAGAAGTGAACTATTCCAACCTAATTTCTCACAAAGTGAACCAGAGTCCCAGTTCACTTCTC
Source organism: Homo sapiens (assembly GCF_000001405.40). Taxonomy (NCBI): domain Eukaryota; kingdom Metazoa; phylum Chordata; class Mammalia; order Primates; family Hominidae; genus Homo; species Homo sapiens. The sequence continues at coordinate 11,945,529 of NC_000010.11, forward strand.
CCACACACAAGCACTTGGAACCTCCCTCTGCACATTTTGCTTGCATTTTTATGTAGCAAACACACATGTATCCTGTGCAACATGCATTCTCCAACTGGAAAAGTAAGTAATAGTTACAAATGATATAACTATCAAAATTATAAAGTTCATGTTTAAAAAGGAGAAAATGCACTTAGAGGAGGAAACATATCAGAACTCTTCAAATGAGAAATTAATAAGAAAATGAGCCCTCCTCAATATCATATTTACCAACAATGCTGGATTTATTAGATACTGCTCATGTAATTAGTACAGTAGCCAAATCCAAGACAACCATAAGATTAGTCTGAAAATATGAAATGGAAATAGTTTCTCATTTCCCTTTGTTGTTATAAAATACTTAATGAGTCAACTTGAATTCTATTACTGAATGTTTCTATTACAACCTCATTTTGAAAACAAAGCAATATAATGTTCATCTAGTATACTGAAGCCAATTAAAGAAACATATTCCAGTTCTAAATTTTTACTAACTTATTTATATCTAAGGAAGTTCTAAGGTTGTCAAGAAAAAGTGGTAGCAAATAACATAAATACTTAATGGTGCATTTCCACTGCCTATAAATACTAGCCAATTAGGAAAACCATACATTATTGCCTATACTGTCTTTTCACAACCAATCCTTTTTAACTAATAGCAAAGCAATTTGTTATGCAGTTAAACCATTCCAAATTTCCAATAAGTTACAAAGCTTTAGGGCTAAAGGAAACACAGCCTTATGGATTTTTACATCTGACCGTAGAAAACTTTAATCACCTTAAATTATGAGTCCTTTCTCTTTAATTCTAAATAAAGCTTTTTAAAAATCCAGTTTGCAAATCTATCTTATGAATGTCATAAACAATTAACATTCCTTTAAATATTAAACCAACATTCTCAAAATATTTACATCCCATTTACTCAAATAAAAACTTTAAAAGTGAAATTAAATTTCCCCAAAACACTTAAGTATTGACTGCAAATTTAAACTTCTTTCAATATTTAATTAAAATCATACTTCCAGTGAAAAACTGCTAATTTCATGACTTAAATTTTAATTTCATCAGTATTCTATTCGTATCTTTACTCACTCTAACTTTTTAAACTCTCGTTTTGTTTCTTCTATACCCCTAACCCATTCCCCAATCTACCTCGAGATTATAAAGCAAATCTCAGACATCCTTTTATTTTGATCGACTTTTTTTTTCAATTTAAAGAAACAGGGTCTCACTATGTTGTCCAGGCTGGACATGAATTCCTGGGCTCAAGCAATCCTCCCACCTCAGCCTCCCGAGTAGCTGGTACTATAGATGTGCACAGCTTCATGGAACATTTAAACGTAAGTGAGTTTGGAAGAAAAAACTGAAGAATCATGGGCCAAATGCGGCTCACGCCTGTACTCCCAGCATTTTGGAAGGCCAAGGTGGGGGGATCACTTGAGGCCAGGAGTTCGAGATTAGGTTGGCCAACATGGTGAAACCCCATCTCTACTAAAAATACAAAAATTAGCTGGGCATGGTGGCACACACCTAAAATCCTAGCTACTTGGGAAGCTGAGGCACAAGAATCACTTGAACTACGGAGGTGGAGACTACGGTGAGCCGAGATCATGCCACTGCACTCCAGCATGGGCGACAGTGAAGGCTGTCTCAAACAACATCAACAAAACCCAAAGAATTAAAACTGCTAGTTTTAATCACACAGAAATGACATTTTGCTAAGTCAGAAACAGTACAAGAACAATTTCATATGGTTTAACTTAATAGTCATAGATACAAAAAGGGTGTATCAATTACTATCGTATATGTTGAATTTCAGATTTCATATAACCATGAGATCTGGGAAAAATAAAGCAAAGCTCATTAATATCTAGCCAGTAATTTTGTTTTGAAGAGTATAAAATCCACTGACTAAAAAGTCCATATTCAACAGCGAGATTAAGATACACAAGAAGTGGGGTGCAATGGCTCACACCCATAATCCCAGCTCTTTGAAAGGCTGAGGGAGGAGGACTGCTTGAACCCAGGAGTTTGAGACCAGCCTGGGCAATATAGCAAGATCCCCATCTCTACAAAAAAACCCCAAAATAATTAGCTGGGCATGGTAGCACGTCCACACGGTCTCAGCTACTGAGGAGGCTGAGGTGGGAGGATTGCTTGAGCCCAAGAGGTTGAGGCTGCAGTGAACTATGATCACACCACTCCACTCCAGCCTTGGCAACAGAGAGAAACCTTGTCTCAAAAAAAAAAAAAAAAAAAAAAAGACATGTGGAGATCAATTTTTTCTTTAAATTGCTTATTAAATAAAAATGCTATAATCAGTATTTTATTACTTTCTTTAAAAACTTTTAATTAAACAAGGGGTTTTATGATAAAAACATACTACTAGTTACATTTACTATAATAAAACTAAGGAGGAGGCCAGGTGCGGTGGCTCATGCCTGCAATTCCAGCACTTTGGGAGGCTGAGAGGGGCAGATCACCTGAAGTCAGGGGTTCAAGACCAGCCTGGCCAACATGGTGAAACCCCATCTCTACTAAAAATACAAAAATTAGCTGGGCGTGGTGGCGAGTGCTTGTTATCTCAGCTACTCGGGAGGCTGAGGCAGGAGAATCACTTGAACCCAGGAGGCAGAGGTTGCAGTGAGCCGAGATTGTGCCACAGCACTCCAACTTGGGCGACAGAGCAAGACTCTGTCTCAAAAAAAAAAAAAAAAAAAAAAACCAGGAGGAGGTCTTATGTATTAAAAAAATTTTGGCTCATATAATCAAAATACTCTTATACAAATGTACTCTATGTTGCTACATATAAAAGTCATCACCTCTTCTTCTGGCTCATTTACTTCACTTTCATTTCCAGATTGTTCTTCTGTTTCAGCCCCACCTTCTTCTTCTTCTTCATCCTCTTCAAGATTTTCTCCTTCTGTCATAGAATCTTTTGAGTCTTTGTCATTTACTAGGCCTTGAAATGAGAAGGTGGAAATGGAAAAATACATTAAAAATAGACACAGGCTAGTTTTCTACACTATACCAATTCATGTAAAAGTATGCATTAAGAATTCAACAGCCATTTTCTCAGAACAAAGGTAAAAGAATTAAAAACTACGGTGAGAAACATTTAAAAAACTAAATGTGTAGGCCTACATTTCAACAAATAAACACAACTAACAAAAAGCGAGAAAAAATAAGTGTATGTGTGTGTATACTTTTCCCTCTTTTCTTACAGCTTTAAATACTTGGATAATCTTGTATATCTCAGTCTTGGACAAAGGTAGAAAACAGTAACAGATGAGGTACAGTCTCAGCCATATGTAAGATACAGCGTTGGCCACACTCTTTACCAAGTGAGATTTAAAGAGTCTCCAAAAACTCAAAAGACATGAAAAAAATCGTGCCACTTTAATGGAGAAATCATATGTGGCTATCAATTTGAATGTATGCAAATTAAGACGGGGGAATGGGGCAAAACGCCATAGCAGCTTTGTCACCATACAGACTAATTTTTTTTCTTCAATAACAGCATTCTCCTCCTAAGCCTAATGGAACTCCCTGGCCTGAATTTGCTTTCACCTCCTGTGTCCATCCCACATTTCACTGCCCAGTCAATTCTTCTTCCTGTTGGAATTCCAATCCACCCTCTCTACTTTTGATATGCACACAATGTGGTCTCATCTGATCCCACTGATCTGCTACCCACTCCTCTCTCCTAAGCCCTCCCCTGAAGTTGCCTTAGACGTCTCCTGTCACAGAACACACTGCTTTGAAATCTTGCTTGCCCAATATCCTTCTCAATAGAGAATACCCTTCAATATGCACTTTCAAATCCCATCCACTCTTCATGTTCAGTTTCAGTTTTACTTCCTGCATGAACTGTCAATGAGTACTTCAATCTATTACTTTTTCTCCTATTTGCTCCTAAAGCATGTGGAGAACTTACAGCATCTTACATTTGATGATATAGCATGTTGTTATTTTTTCCTAACGATCTCATAAATATTACATCAGATTATAAGACCCCTGAGGACAAAGAACTTGTCTTAAATGTTCAAAACTTAAGACAGCCCATATATTAATAAATACACAGTAGGTGTTAAATAAATACCTGTTCATGCATAGAATCTTAGAGGATTCAAGCAGGAAGAAACTTTAGCGATGATGTGATTTAACCCTCTCATTTCATGAATACTGCTTTGAACACTTCCAAACCAGAATTAAATAACATTGCCAATTACCATTTTAGTTTTGTTCTTAAATTAAAATAAAAATCTGAGCCAGTAATCCTATCTATCCTGAGAAAATCACAGGTACACTAAAAATATTATTTACAGTGGTATAAAACTAGAATCAACCTAAGAGTGAAACAGCTGTATTAAGTAAATTATGGCACATAGATACAAATGAATACAGCCAATTACAAAACAAAAAATAAAGCTTTAAGAGAATATGTGTAATGTCAAGAAAAAATTTCATAATGTATTAAGTAGAACCAATTGGTTAGAAAATCACAAACACAAAAAAAATTTAAAAAGAGTAGAAAAATATGTATTAAAATATTAACACGATTATCTTTCTGTATGGAATATTGGTATTGCTTTCTTGGTTTTTTAAAAATTACTGTCATGAACACATTACTTTTAATACTATTAAAAGTTATTTTTAAAATATGATAAAAATGGTTTTAGTGTTTTCCAATTAACTATTATGTTAACATTGGGATACTATAAAACTAACATGAGACAATGAATTTTCAGGTGTCTGAAAACAAAAAACTACCAAAGGCACAATACTGTATTATCTTTTGGTTTATCAGTAGGAAACGGATTTAATATTGATTTTTCTGCATACGTCTTCTTCCTCAACCAGGAAGCAAATGGAGACTTGGGAGTGCACTGATTGCGGCCGCTACCATCTTTAGAGTTTCATTCACAAACAGCGATCTATTTTTACCTCCATATTCTAAACAAGGACAAAGTCCTCACAAGAAGCCTGCAGTCCTTTAATTTAGCCTTTTGATCTACAAAGGACAAAGCACAACTGTTCTCTTTTCTGTCACTAAACTAGGTGTCACACTAATATTTACTCATGTCCACTATACAGAGAATACCATTCATGCAGGTTTTTGGGAAACAAGGCTAAGACTTAACAATTTTCCAAGGATCCAAAGCAAGTGAAATAAGTTCATAAATACTCTGCTCAATATGAGATCATGTATTCAATTAGAAATTTCAAAAGGAAAAGAAAGTAGGTAACTTGGAAAAAGGTTCAAAGAACAAAAAGAATCATATATGCCTTTACGGGTTAAGTTGTAGGAAAAGTTAATACTTGCACAATCAGTAGCAGCACTTGTAAAACCTTTACCATGAAAAGTGGTTCTTCAGATATGCGATGTCGTAAATTTATATAATTTGCATAACTGGCGAAAGTAAAGATCCCTTAATGACAGACATGAATGTACCAAGTTCTAGTGGGAAATCAAACACTAGCTTAATAGTCTGAAAACGGGTCACTTTTTATTTATTTACTTTATTTTTTTGAGATGGAGTTTCGCTCTTGTTACCCAGGCTGTAGTGCAATGGCGTGATCTTGGCTCACTCCAACCTCCGTCTCCCGGGTTCAAGCGATTCTCCTGCCTCAGCCTCCTGAGTAGCTGGGATTACAGGTGTGCGCCAACATTCCTGGATAATTTTTGTATTTTTAGTAGAGATGGGGTTTTGCCATGTTGGCCAGGCTGGTCTCAAACTCCTGACCTCAGGTGATCTGCCTGCCTCGGCCTCCCAAAGTGCTGGGATTACAAGTGTGAACCACCACACCTGGCCAAAACGTGTCACTTTAAAATGACTACAATAAAACATGCTAAGAACTATCAGCATATAAACCAGATTGGTATGGCTATACTTTGTACTGGTTATTTCTAAAGACATATAGGTTCCTGCAGCTCTAGTGGAAGCTGTTCAAGAGTTAACTCTTCTCCCCAAAACAACCTCAGGATACTAAAGTATATAGAGAACCTTCTAATTATCTCTAGATTTTCTCTAGTCCTTAGAGACAGAAGCAACTCTGCCAGTGGGTAAGCTCTGAAATCCTGTAGGGTAGAGTTCCAAACTTCTGACAGGTACTCCCTTCTACAGTTTCTTTGCTTGCACTTTCTAGGAAATAATGCCTGTTGAAAATATATACGCAAAAATAAGAAATGCTTTAATAAAAAATAGATTTTATATTAGCAACCAAAAATTCTAAAAGTAAGAGAGGTAGACAGGATTGTGGGTTTTTTTTCCCCCATCACTGTCACCTGCTTCAAGTCCTGTCCTGCAAGTCCTGCTTAACTGTTGTCCTCCGGTTTGAAATTACTTAGTGAAATCAAGCACACCACACAGGCATTACCTAACACTACTACGTAACACTCAACACCGAAAATAGAAAAGATACAATGTAAGCTCTGACTGGTAACATTATAAAGCAAATTCCAGAAATAATCTGCCAAATATCACCTTCATTTTCTGTCTGCAATCAATTGCTTACCTAGTTTTATTAAGAATTCTCGTTCCAAGTCTTGTACCTGCCTGATGGATTCTTCCAGAGAATTACAGAGTTTGATCTTTGGTCTTAGCAGTTCTAGTGTATCACTGATCATGTAATCTATATCAATAGGAAATGGATGGTCTTTTGTCCAAACCTCCAAACTTTTCTTCCACCAAACATAACGCTGATAACAAATGAAAAATAAATTTAGCTATAAGAAATTAGTAACAAAATATTTTAAAATAATAAACTATATTGTGCTGTTTCCCAGTTATAACTACTAAGCTGAAAGGTTATAAAAGACACTTACCATTTCTATTAATGGTCAACAGCAATGATCCTATTCCAATCATTTCCCTCTGTCTATACAGGTCTTGAGCTATTTGGTGAATTTACTAAATATCTTTTTTTTTTTTTTTTTTTTTTTGAGATGGAGTCTCGCTCTGTCACCCAGTCTGGAGTGCAGTGGCGCCATCTCAGCTCACTGCAAGCTCCGCCTCCCAGGTTCACGCCATTCTCCTGCCTCAGCCTCCCGAGCAGCTGGGACTACAGGTGCATGCCACCACGCCCGGCTACTTTTTAATATTTTTAGTGGAGACGGGGTTTCACTGTGTTAGCCAGGATGTTCTCAATCTCCTGACCTCGTGATCCGCCCGCCTTGGCCTCCCAAAGTGCTGGGATTACAGGTGTGAGCCACTGCGCCCGGCCCTAGATATCTTTTTATTATAACTGTCACAGTTTTTTTAAGGCAAGGAAATATTATAAATAAAATACCAAATAAATTTTTAGGTACTCCAAAACAAGGCACTGATTTCCTATATTTAATTTTACAAATTTAACCAAATTCAAAGCCATCGTTGTGATAATGTTCATTATTTTCTCTGTGCTACTTGCTTTGATTTTTGAAGAGTTAAAGTATCTGAAAATACGGTTTTTGAAATATATAAAAATCACTAATCATCAACAAGCATTTATTGAATATCTACTGTGTATATGGCATGGTGTGGATATTTTCCCTCTCTACTCCAAGCCTGGTTCCCACATTCTATTTTATACTTGTTTTAATTCCTAAATTTACATTAACTGAAAGCACAACCCAAGAATTTACTAGTATATGAACAGGTATTCCTCTGGGAGTTTTACTCTTCCTCTCCAGTTTGTTCCAGGTCCTTGCTACTCCAAGTGTGGACCTCATCTGGGAGCTTCTTAGAAATGTAGAATCTCAGGCCTCCCCCTAGGTCAACTGAATCAGAATCTGCATCTTTACAAAGTCCCCAGGGGACATGGATGCACAGGAAAGTTTAAAAGCACTGCTCCAGGGGATCCTTTCTTCCTGACCTTCTAATACTAAACTGTACACTCCATGTTCTGGGTGAAACACACAGACCTCATCACCCAGGCCTCACTCACTTCTGACTCCAATTCCTAGGTATGGCTCTGTTACACATTTTTGTCTGTTAATCAGTTTGGAAAATATTTTTGTCTCTTTTGGCTCCTGAATATTTCTGAGTGTTTCTTTTCTCTCAGCCTAAGATGTCAGAGTGAATCGAAAGGATTCTCTTCTGAGAGAGATTCTACTTTGGATGCTGTTATAGCTGCCATTTTGCAGCAAAACTCTGGCTTTTAATACAGTATCCAACTTAAGATGGTCCTTACATACAACAGGGACTGCAACCCTCAAATCTGCAAGTCCTTTTCCCCACTTTTTGCTCATCAATTCAGAAAGTAAGGGAGTAATAGGTTTCCCTCTACTGCAAAAGAATAGCGGTAGGAGCAAGCTAACAGACCGCAATTCCCGAAGAATATTTACCCCCAACTTAACACACGCCACCATGTGGATGTATTTTTGATACTTCAAGTTACATTAAACTTATTTTCTTCATAATGGGTAAATGAAAATACTAACAATTGTGATTATATAGAATCGAATGGTACTATCACCACTTAGTAAAACTTAAAGCACTTGATAGTGAGTTGTTCACCCTAATTGGCACTTAGAAAATTGTATTTTATGGGAAATAGTAATTGGGCTCCAACTAATCAACCTATAAGTTAACCTCTGAAATACAAACTTTATAGAGGTTGTAGTACTGTCCCTGTATTTGTATATGAATTTAATTTATATTGTGCTTGGTCTAAATCACAAGTTTATATAATAACCCAACATTAAGATATGGAAAACACAACCCAAGAATTTACAAATAAATGAACAAATATTCTTACTGTATTAAAAATAACACATTTTCCTCAAAAATGATAGGTTTTCTTTTTTTAAAAAAAAATTAGGCTGGGCACAGTGACTCACGCCTGTTAATCCCAGAACGTTGGGAGGCCGAGGTGGGCAGATCACCTGAGGTCAGGAGTTCAAGACCAGCCTAACCAACATGGTGAAACCCCCTCTCTACCAAAAATACAAAAATTAGCCGGGTGTGGTGGAGTACACCTGTAATCCCAGGTACTCTGGAGGCTGAGGCAGGAGAATTGCTTGAACCTGAGAGGTGGAGGCTGCAGTGAGCTGAGATTGCACCACTGCACTCCAGCCTGGATGACACAGCAAGACTTACTCTCAAAAAAAAAAATATATATATATATATATACATATATATATCTTTTAGAAACAAGAATTTGGGCTGGGCGCGATGGTTCATGCCTGTAATCCTAACACTTTGGGAGGCTGACGCGGGAGGTTTACTTGAGGCTAGGAGTGCAAGACCAACCTGGCCAACATAGCAAGACCCCATTTCTATTTAAAAAAAAAAAAAAGAAAGAAACAAGAATTTGAGATGTAAACCAGAATATACATGAGTGAGAAGAGAACATTAACAAATGTATTACAAATCACAAGTAATTTAATCAATAAATTACTGTATTAAATATCACGGTCCATAAATTACTGAACCAAATTTATAAACTGTATGAAAACAACTCCCAAAATTAATGACCAATCATTATCAATCATAAAAGTTATATGCAATGAGAATGTTCATACAATAGAATCCATCATATATCTTTAAATTTCCAAAAGCATTCTTATATGAAGAATATAATCTAATTATGAACATATATATAATATATGAATACCATAACGTTTCTTCTCTCATAGTATTCTTTTAAAACACATGCAATATGTTAAATGATGCCAAACTGAATATTTCAGCTTATATACCTGAAAATATACAAGGAAACAATCAAGTTTTCGTTTACTGGAACCTCTGTCAAAGTACTGGCCACATGTGTCCAGAATAGTGCATACGAGTCTAATTCTGAAAAGATGCTCAGGTGGGTCCAGGGAACTTGGAGAGCCATCAGGATTAACACCAAATGAGGTAAAAGAATACAGAGTTCTGAAAATAACAGCTGATTCCACCATTCGGTAATTGTAAAGTTCTCCTAAGAACTTGGCACTGCTGATGCGCCTCTGATTAAATTTAGGTTGATTAACCTAAAAGGCAACAAAACCACAGATTTTCATTAAAGAGGAGTAGTGTATATGAAAACAGGTTAAACTTGTCTCTGTAACTTGAAAATATCTATTACTGAAAGAACACTGAATAGAGAAATGACAGATCTTTTCTAATAAACTGGTTACTTCTAGGTGTCCTTTTCTCTCTCTAGGAAATGGCTATCTTTAAAGTGTTTTCATAAAAAGAACATGTTAGGTATTAAATTTAGCTATCATTACATGAATTGTTTCTAAAACAGTTAAAATGTAATTCTACCCTTAACCTATTTTCTCTGCCATCAGTGAATTAAGGAAACAATAAATCTGGGTTTTACAGTAAGAGGAAACTGTTAGGCCGGGCGCAGTAGCTCACGCCTGTAATCCCAGCATTTTGGGAGGCCAAGACAGGTGATCACCTACGGTCAGGAGTTTGAGACCAGCCTGGCCGACATGGCAAAACCCCGTCTCTACTAAAAATACAAAAAAATTAGCTAGGCGTGGTGGCATGCACCTGTAGTAGTCCCAGCTACTCGGGAAGTTGAAACAGGAGAATTGCTTGAACCCAGGAGGAAGAGGTTGCAGCGAGCGGAGATCGTGCCAGTGCACTCCAGCCTGGGTGACACAGCGAGACTCAGTCTCAAAAAAAAAAAAAAAAGAGGAAAGTGTTTACAGGAAATTCTTATAAAATGATTATCAGCTTTTTCTAACTAATAAATTTACAGATTCCTATAACTTGAGTCTCAATAGTAACCTAGAAATAATAAATTCTCCACGAATTCCAGTTGTGTGACATTAAAGGAAGTCTTGTTTACCTCCATTCCTAATCGAATATCTTCTAACACTCCATCCACAACGTGGATCCCAACATCCTCTTGGTAGAGCACTAGTCCTGCTAAGAGGTTGGCTACACAATGAATACTATTATATTTCACATTCCAGATGTTTATCATACAACAAATAACATAGTCTTTCACTTCTTGGTCCTGCCAGGGCAGCTTTCGCATCTGTCTCAAAACCTAAAAAAAGAGAATTTTGTTCAAATTATTAAGATAAGTACACAGTAGCCTGACCAAATAATACAGAAATTTTGCTATGATTGCGCAGAGAACTTTTGAAATAGAAAATACATTAGAAATCCTCTATCGGCCTCTTCAGAAATAGAAAAACTGAGACTTTCTAATTACAATAAAATGTATTATCATCTTTCCTAAATCCTTCCATAGTGCTCTCAAATTTTCTAGAGTTTTCAGGTCTTCAATCTAGGTGACTGTTCTCAGGTCATTAAAATAAATATCCAATCAGGAGTTTGGAGTAGGTTTCTTTTTCCCCCCCAGACACAGTCTCACTCTGTCACCCAGGCTGGAGTGCAGTAGCGCAATCTTGACTCACTGCAACCTCCTCCTCCATGGCTCAAGCAATCCTCCCACCTCAGTCCCCCAAATAGACTGGACTACAGGCATGCAATAGCATGCCTGGCTAATTTTTATATTTTTTGTAGAGGCGAGATCTTCCTATGTTGCCCAGGCTGGCCTCCAACGCCGACGTCAAGTAATCCCTGTGCCTTGGCCTCCCAAAGTGCTGGGATTACAGGCATGAGCCACCATGCCCAGTATGGAGTAGGTCTTTAAAAACAAAAACGGGCCAGGTGCTGTGGCTCACGCTTGTAATCCCAGCACTTTGTGAGGCCAAGGTGGGTGGATAATCTGAGGTCAGGAGTTCGAGACTAGCCTGGCCAACATGGCAAAACCCCATCTCTACTGAAAATACAAAAATTAGCCAAGCACAGTGGTGGGCAACTGCAATCCCAGCTACTAGGGTTGCTGAGGCAAGAGAATCACTTGAACCCGGGAGGCAGAGGTTGCCGTGAGCCGAGACTCCACCACTGCACTCCAGCCTGGGTGACAGAGCGAGACTCCATCTCAAACAAAAACAAAAACAAAAACCCAAGGTTTATGAAAAATAACATGCTCTCTTTGGTGCATAATTTGACATAAATAATCTCACTTTCTTTCTTTCTTTTTTTCTTGAGATGGAGTCTCGCTCTGTCATCCAGGCTGGAGTGCAGTGGCATGATCTCAGCTCACTACAACCCTCCGCCTCCAGGGTTCAAGCAATTCTCATACCTCAGCCTCCCAAGTAGCTGGGATTACAGGCATGCGCCAACACACTCAGCTAATTTTTGTATTTTTGGTAGAAATGAGGGTTTCGCCATGTTGGCCAGGCTAGTCTCGAATTCCCGGCCTCAAGTGATCTGCCCACCTCGGCCTCCCAAAGTGTTGGCTCATAGGCATGAGCCACTATGCCAGCTAATAATCTCACTTAAAAAATAAAATCATTAATTTCCAACAAATAAATAAACCCAAAGTCAACTGGCTAAAAGATCCCTTAAGGTGGAGGACACTGTATCAAGACTGAGGCTGTACGACAACCTCAATTTCCTCATGTGTAAAACGGGGGATAACAAAAAAGTACTTACTTCCTAGTTTATGGTAAAGACTAGACAAGTTAAAAATATGTGAAGTACATAGGAAAGTGTCTGGCACATTATAAAAATGTTAGTGGCCAGGTGCAGTGGCTCACACCTGTAATCCCAACACTTTGGGAGGCTGAGGCAGGAGGAGGATTGCTTGAGCCCAGGAGTTCGAGACCAGCCTGTGGAACATAGCAAGACCCCATCTCTATTACATTAAATTTTTTTAAAAAGTTAGCAATTACTATTTCAAAGCCTCTACTATAGCAAGATGATCAGCAGAGCTCTAAACCATAATCAAAGTCTTTCCATTTTTCTCCTTATATAAAATGGATACTATTAGCCAATTGCAAAGTAAGCCTTTCATCTCTACTCTTTATTATCATCCACAATTCATCTTTCAAACACTAAACATGATTCTGACATTTCCAACGAAGCTGGTATGAGAACTCGTTTAGCCATTCTATACTTTTCAAACTTTTAGCCAATTCCAAAACTATTTGAAACAACTACTGCCTCTGACTGAGGAAGCTGGTTTCAATTTTCAAACCTGCAACATCATTCCTTATCACCTTCCATCCTAAAAGGAAAAAAATTCTACCCTGTATTATATGTCAAGTGTAGAGTTCACCAAGAAATGTTTTGTTCAACATATCTTACTTAAAAGCAAAGTTTCTAACATGGTAACTACAATTATTAAGATAATAGGTCAGTGATTCTTTACCTTCACTGGAAATTAACCCCTGTTGAGAATCTAAAGAAAGCTGCAGACCCTGTTTCCAGAAAAATACAAATAGCCAGAGACGTTCAAAATTACGAAATTTCAGAGGGATCATGGGCCTCTTATAACGTCTACTAAAGGTTAGGATCCTGTGTACTGATGCAAAATAATATTTAAGTACAAATTTGTTATGGAATACCAGAGAGAAAGTAATAATTTCAAATATATACATAAAATCAAAATTTACTAGAGTTACTATTTCAATTAAAACAAAAAGTTATCATAAAAGGAAAACAAAACCTATGTCCCAAATATTATATATCATCATAAGAATTCCTTCTTAGGGTGACTTACACAGAGCTGATTATAAAGGAACTTGAGCTCTACCCCCACTTCTCCTAGACTCTACATAAGCTTAGCACTACCACAAATCTCACGTTAACTATTAACTGCATGATTTCATAAGATTTACCTTCTCGGTGGTAACCTTAGAGAGATCCTTGTACAAAAGTTTCCGGACATATTCCTGGAGAGGAGGACGTTTCTTTTTCACGGTTTTTTCAGCTGGAGGTGGGTTGCAGTAGTAATATGCATTCTCTACCATTGTGACGTATCTCGCATCAAGATGCATTGCTTGCTTCTTTCTCATCATTTGCTCCTGAAATAAAAAGTCCAAATTAATCAAAACACGTTCCTTCTAAGATTCCTTTACTCCTAACTAAACTTCTATTCTCAGTGATTTGCTATTTCAAAGTAATGGGTTAGAAAGGCAAAGAAAGGACTGGGCACTGTGGCTCACACCTATAATCCCAGCACTTTGGGAGACTGAGATTGCAGGATCACTTGAATCCAGGAGTTCAAGACCAGCTTGGGCAACATGATGAAACCCCATCTCTACAAAAGATACAAAAATTAGCCAGGTGTGGTGGCGCACACCTGTAGTCCCAGCTACTTGGGAGGTTGAGGTGGGTGGACAGCTTGAGCCCAGGAGGTGGAGGCTGCAGTAAGCCATGACTGGCACTGCACTCCAGCCTGGGCAACAGCAAGACCCTGTCTCTTAAAAAAAACAAAACAAAAACACACAGAGAGGTGGGGGTGGTGAGACAAAAACAATCAACAGGCATATCAAAGAGCATGTAAGCATACTAACTGTTATACTACTTATCATTTTTAGAACATACTAGCCCGTGCCTACTTAGCCTTACGTTTCATCCAATAAAATACTAGAGAACTTTACTACCAAGGTAACTTCTTTCATAACTTTGTGTCTAGGGTTGCTCAGTATCAGCTCAGAAGAGGTAACTAACAAATACAGATCTAGTCACTCACCGTCTACTTCATGGTTTCTCAGCCTCAGCACTACTGACATTTCGAATTGGATAATTTGTTGTGGGGGATTATTCTGTGCCTTGTGGAATGTTTTACAGCCACTCTGGCCTCTACCCACTAGATGCCAGTGGAGAACCACTGACAAGTTGAAGATCTTTAAACAGCACTCCTAATTCTTAAAACAGCATCATACCAAGCATTAAGATTACTGAATAATTAAGTCATTTTAAAAACATCTGCTGGGCGCAGGGGCTCAAGCCTATAATCCTAGCAACTCGGGAAGCTGAGGTGAGAGAGTCCCTTGAGATCAGGAGTTTGAGACTAGCCTGGGCAACAAAGTGAGACCCCATCTCTACATTAAAATAAAATAAAGTAAAATAAAATAAAATAAATAGCTGGGCACAGTGGTAGGTACCTGTAGTCCCAGCTACTCGGGAAGCTGAAGCAGGAGGATCACGTGAGCCCAGAAGCTCGAGGCTACAGTAAGCTTTGATCATGTCACTGCACTCCAGCCTGGGTGATGGAGTGAGACCCCACCTCTAAAATAAAAAATAACAGAATAAAAGAAAAATAAAGTAAAAAATTACCCAGGCACGGTAGTATGCGCTGTCATCCCAGCTACTCAGGAAGCTGAGGTGAAAGGACTGCTTGAGGACTGCCTGAACCCAGGAGTTCAAGGCCGCAGTGAGCTATGATCATGCCACTGCACTCCAGCCTGGAAGACAAGCTTAAGACCTTATCTCTTAATAAAAAAAAAAAATAAGAAAGAAAGAAAGGAAAGTAGCCAGGTGCACTGGCTCATGCCTGTAATCCCAACACTTTGGGAGGCCAAGACAAGAGGATCACTTGAGGCCGGGAGTTCGAGAGCAGTCCTAGCAACGTAGTGAGACCCTGTCTCTATAAAATAAAAAAATTAGCCAGGCATAGTGGTGTGCATCCATAGTCCCGGCTATTTGGGAGGCTGACGTGGAAGGATCACTTGAGCCCAGGAGTTGGAGGCTGCAGTGAGCTATAATCACACCACTGCACTCCAGCCTGGGCAACAGCGGGAGACCCTGTCTCAAAAAAAAAAAAAAAAAAATTACTTGGTACTTATTAGTGTTATGCACTATGGCAGGTGCGGGAAACTCACCAGTGAACAGGACAGACATGATTCCTACTTACAAGAAACTTAACAGTCTTGTGTCAGAAGACAGAATAAAATCAACAAATAAATCAACTACTATTCTTTTCAATAATAATTGCAACAGTAGCATGAACAATAAGTACTGAGATCCGAAACAACAGAGAACCTACTTCAGTTTGGAGTGGGTTAGGGAAGGTTTTTCTGAGAAAGTGACATTTAAACTAGGATCTGAAGGATAACAAAGGCTGAAGAACCACGGGAAGAGCACGCATGCAGAGGCCCAAGCAGAAAGAAAGGCATATGTGGCACGAACAGAAGGCCAGTGTGTTCCTAGTAGGGAGCAGCAGAAGAGGGAAGAGGAGGGAGGGGCCGGGTAATAGAGAGCACTGCACACCAAGGTGAGAAGGCTGGGTTTAAGTGTGCAGAGGGAGATCACTGACAAGCTTCAAGCGGTGTTGTGGACTGGGGTGCTGGGTGGTGGTGGATTTCAAGTTGTGTGTGTATGTGAGATCAAGGAGGGCGGGGGCTGTATCTTTTTCACTGTCACATACGTAGCACCTAAAACAGTGCCTGACAGACATGCAATTCGTATTTAACGCATGAATAAATGAATGAATTTTTAAAAACATATTCACTCTTTCCTATGGACTGCTTTTCTATCTGTGCGAAATCATCATATACTAGGAGAAAGTTTTGCTATTTATAAGTTCGACTGTGGGTATACCAAGTTTCATAACTGTTTCTCTTGTCTCCTAGGATTTCTATAGTACACTGACTATAGCTAAGCCCCTATACTGACGCATCTCTGTACTATAATTAGTGAATGCCTGTTACATATTCAGTCTTCCAAACAGGCAAGAAAAGACTCCCATGTTTAAAAGAGCTAGAGATTTAATGACCACACCCTATAAGTTCTTTGGACAAAATAGAATGCATCATTTAACTTATCACTCGTACACAGATAATCCAGCTTTTAATCTCAATTAGTCTCAACCTGTTAGCTGGCCTGCTTTAGAAACTTTTCCCCCACACACGCACACTCACACATACCCCAAACTAATTTTAACATTAGCCAAGACTAATTTTGAAGGCAAACCAGTTAAAAGGTTATATGTCTTCTCAAATAAATGTGAATACATTTTAGATGATCCCATAAGCACTGATGTGCTTCAAACCAAACTCATCATCTGTTCCCTCCCCTTTATTCCCTCATATCTGTGACTGGCACCATCATCTGCTCAGATGCCCAAGGCAGAATTTTAGTCTTATCTTAGGGTACTTCCTGCTTCCTCATCCCTTATATCTCACCACCAAGTCTCCTCAGTTCTACCTCCTAAAAATTTTCATATAGCTAGTCAGAATTCTCCAGCCTCTCCCCAACCATCCATACCCCGATTCATTTCTGCATTGTTGTCCCCCTGGGTTTCTGAAACAGCCTTCTGACTGTTCTCTCTACCTCGGGTCTCAGCAGTTATCGCCTCCATACTAATCTTTCTAAAAACGTGAATCTGATCATATCCACCCTACCTGCTTAATTAAAATCCTTCAACAATTATTCACTGCCACCAGGAAAAAAACTCAAGCTCCTTAGCATGGCACTCTGGGCTCCTTATAAGCTAGTGCGTGCCTATCCTCCTCTCCAGTTTTACCTGCAGCTGTTTTATTCAACTGGTTTCTCTTCTCTGCCTTTAAGACTCAGCTTAGGTCTCTAAAATAAAAACTGCTTTTTTCAAGAACCCTTTCCTGATATAGTAAATTAGGTGCCTCTTCTACCTACACTCAAAATACCTTAGGCTTATACATTAAATCATAATGTATTTTTTTTTAATTTCCCATAATGTATTTCAATTCTCTATTTATTTGTCTGACTGTCCTATTAGGCTATAAACTACGTAAGGGCAGAAACTCTTCCAATTTTATATTCCAAGGGTCTAGCACAGAGTTCACACCCCATAAATACTATCAAGCCATTAGGGGAGACCTTTGCTACTCTCAGTCTGGTTTAAGTACCTCCTCCATGAGCCCACAGTATCCTCTGCAGCCCTCCATTACAGCACCTACGACACTGTATTAGAATTACGTAGTTAACTCTCACCCATTACAGGTGAACCACTTTGAAGATGGTAATTATATTTCATTTCTTTTTATCATCCCTCCTATCTAGCTGTGTGAGTATTCATTCATTCATTCATTCATTCATTCGAGACAGGGTCTCATTCTGCCGCCCAGGCTGGAGTGCAGTGGCGAGATCATGACTCCTGCAGCCTTGATCTCCCAAGTTCCAGAGATCCTCCCACCTCAGCCTTCTGAGTAGTTGGGACTACAGGAAAGCATCACCACGCCTGGCTAGTTCTAAAATGTGTTTGTAGAGAGGAGGTCTCACTATGTTGCCAAGGCTGGTATTTTGTAAGTGCTGGGAATACAGGCGTGAGCCACTGCGCCTGGCCTTAATTTTAAAATTTAATATATTTAAGCTTACATTTTATGTGCTTACATGACACATGAATAATGGTTTGAGATGCACCAAAACATTCATAACATAACAAAAACATTCATAAACATGGCTCTAACAAAACAGTATTGGGTGCCTGCTCATCTGCATCATTTGTTAAAAGTGTTACAGGTTGAACTTAATTACCCCTTGCAATACTGTGAACTCGCTGGTAGCCAAGTGAGAAAAATGTCTACAGCTCTCCAGGGATTGCAACTCATATGTATGGGATGTTCCACTTTAAGTAGAAATGTTTGTATTCATATGAAAGAATAAGATAACCAGCACTGGTCAATATTTTCAACCTCTGAAGCACAGGTAAATCAAGAACCTCTAGCTCTTACCAGCATCCTCAAGCCCTTACCAAAAGTACACTGGTCCTCAGGTGAGATTCTGGAGATCTGAAAAGAAACCGTCCACATGTCTCCAGCAGGGTGCATGCCATTTCAATATGGTGATGAGAGAAGTCTGACAGAAGCATCTGCAACAGGAAGAATGATGAAAACTACAAAGGCAACTCTTCAATCCTAGTAGAGAAGAAATTATCATACATCTAATGTGTGTAACAACTTGGAAAACGTAAAAAACAGAAGTGAGTCTACTTGGGTTCACTGCTGAGCATCTTTTGTGTTCTGCCATTAATTTTTATTGAAAAACTTCAATATATTTGACGTCTTTCACAGAAAGATATGTGGAAACGAATGTCAAACCCCTTTCTATATTTATTGTTAGATGTTTTGTATTTAAACACATGCCACATACACAGCAGACATTTTCTCAATGCCTTTTGTCTTGGTCTATATATTTATTTTCCAAAATTCTCACTACAAAAGTATTATTTGCTCATTATATGAATTATAGACACAACCTATCACTAGGACATTTTAGTATTTACCCTCCTAATCATTTACGCGTATTTCTAAACTAAAACAGATTGAGACATTTGAGAATTTGGTTTCTATTGTATCATTTAATCACTTGGTTCTTCTGGCTTACTAGGAAAAATTTTTTGTGTCCTTTTTTGTCCTTCTATGGCATGATTTGCAAAGTATATAGTGCTACATAATATGAACGAGATTAAAACTTACTTGATTCTTATCCATCACCCCAATTGCCTTCCATTTCTTGCTACAGGTGAAGTATCCCTTATCTGAAATGCCTGGGACCAGAAATGTTTCGGATTTCCAATTTTCTGAGATTGTGGAATACAGTATTTGCACATATATAATGAGACAGCCTGAGGATGGGACCCAAATCTATACACAAAATTCATTTATGTCTCATATAACCTTATAAACACAGCCTGAAAGTAATTTATACAGTATATATTTTATATGAAATAAAGTTGTGACTGTGTTTTGACTGTGACTTGCCACATGAAGTCAGGTGACATGTGTCACAATGGTACTCAAAAAGTTTTGAATTTTGGAGGATTTCAAATTTTACATTTTCAGATTAGGAATGCTCATCAACCTGTATTATAAAAATGGTGGGACATACATCATTGTAGAGAAATCTGTGGACATATTTATGATTATTTCCTTAAAATGAATTCCTGGGAAAGAAATTTCTGTGTCAAAAAAGTGTATATTCTTCCTATATATTTTTAAGAATTAGTACAAAGAAATACACCAATAC
Organism: Homo sapiens; assembly: GCF_000001405.40. Taxonomy (NCBI): domain Eukaryota; kingdom Metazoa; phylum Chordata; class Mammalia; order Primates; family Hominidae; genus Homo; species Homo sapiens. The sequence goes on from NC_000010.11 coordinate 11,965,283, forward strand.
ATTTAAACAATTCACAGCATATTCCTTTCAATTTCAGCACTCAGAACATTTTCATAATCCCTTCTATAATGCTATCTGGAATTTACCTAAATATACTTATCAGTATACTAGTTTCCAGAGATGCTCTAAGAAGGATTAGGAAACTTATCCCTTCAATATTTACAATACTTATTAGTATTTTATTTATTTATTTTTGAGATGGAGGCTGGCTCTGTCACCCAGTCTGGAGTGCAGTGGCGCAATCTCGGCTCACTGCGAGCTCCACCTCTCAGGTTCATGCCATTCTCCTGCCTCAGCCTCCCAAGTAGCTGGGACTACAGGTGCCTGCCACCACTCCCGGCTAATTTTTTGTATGTTTAGTAGAAACGGCGTTTCACCGTGTTAGCCAGGATGGTCTCGATCTCCTGACCTCATGATCTGCCCGCCTCGGCCTCCCAAAGTGCTGGGATTACAGGCGTGAGCCACCACGTCCGGCCTCTATTAGTATTTTAAAAACTCTAAGAAGTCATGCATTAAAAAAAAAACTGTTTAATTTTGTTTACCTCAGGATGTTCCAAATGTATTTGAATCCATGAGACCTGTTTTGTGTGATATATCTATTAAGATCTCAAGGAAATCAAGTTGATGAAAAATTTGTTATAGAAAAAAACAACCTTAGTAACGGAATGATCAATTTCAAATGCAGAAGAATTATTCCATCTATTCTCCACCAGCTTTACCACATATAATTAATTACTGTTACTAATTAATTTCTACTTTAATTCTATTTGGACAAAAAACATAATCTGAGTAATTTCAATCTTCCAAATTTTCTAAGACTTTATGACTGATTTTGGTAAATAATCCATAGGCATTTGAAAAGATTGTAAATTCTGCTGCTGTTGGATATAGTATAAATTAGATCACCATTGGTAACTGTGTTGTTCCAATTCTGTATATACTTACTTATTCTGTCTGCCTGTTGTTTCAGCTACTGAGAGGTGTTTTCAAGTCTCTGACTATGATTGTAAGATATTTACTCTGTTACTTGACAATTTTTGCTTTATATATTTTGAAGCCATGTTATTGGTTGCATACTGATTCAGAAAGGTAATCTTTTCCTGTTAAAATAACCTCTTTATCATTACAAACCAGCCTTATTTCTTTTTTTCTTTTTTTTGAGACGGACTTTCACTCTTGTTACCCAGACTGGAGTGCAATGGTGTGATCTTGGCGCACCACAACCTCCACCTCCTGGGTTCAAGTGATTCTCCTCCCTCAGCCTCCCGAGTAGCTGGGATTACAGGTGCATACCACCATGCCTGGCTAATTTTGTATTTTTAGTAGAGACGGGGTTTCTCCATGTTGGTCAGGCTGGTCTCGAACTCCCGATCTCAGGTGATCCACCTGCCTCAGCCTCCCAAAGTGCTGGGATTAAAGGCGTGAGCCACCACGCCCAGCCCTTCATTTCTAATAATACTTCATGGCTTTGTCAAAAGTGTTACAGGTTGAACTTAATTACCCCTTGGAAGACTGTGAACTCACCGGTAGCCAACTGAGAAAAAATTTCTACAGCTCTCCAGGGATGGCAACTCATATGTATGGGATGTTTCAGTTTAGGTAGAAATGTTTGTATTCACATGACAGAGTAAGATAACTACCACCAGTCAATATTTTTAACCTCTATGATAATACAGAGAAACCAGCTTTCATTTTATTAGTATTTGTATAGCATATTTTCCCCATTTTTTTATTTAATTTTTCTCATCTTCATATTTAAGGGTGACTCTGTTGTAGATGGCTCCTAGTAGTTGTTTTAATCAAGTTTTATATTTTTAAGGCTTTTACTTGACATATTTCACCCTTTTTAGATTTCACGTAATTACTCGTAGAACTGCATAAGTATCTAAGATCTCACTATTTGTTTTGTATTTTGCACACTTGTTTAACGTTACTTTTTCTTCCTTTCTTGGTCTTCTTTTGGATTAATCAAATATTAAATTATTTCACTTTATCCACCATTTATAATTAAAACTTTAAACTTTTCAATTAAAAACAATCAACTAATTCAGCACTAACCTTTAAACAATGCAGTGTGTCATTTTTGGTGAACATCTTAAACTTAGTTAGTTCTCCTATAAAACGAACAGTTTTATTCTTTGTTTCAATATTGATCTGGTCCTTTTTCCGTACCTAAAAATTAAGAGAGAAAAGATAATGCTTAATCAACATTTTGAATCTCTGTGATAAAAACTATTATTTTAATGCATTCGAATTCACTCCAGTTTTTTTTTTTTTTTTTTTTTTGAGACAGAGTTTCGCTTGTTACCCAGGCTGGAGTGCAACGGTGCAATCTTGGCTCACTGCAACCTCCGCCTCCTGGGTTCAAGCAATTCTCCTGCTTCACCCTCCCGAGTAGCTGGGATTACAGGCGCCCACCACCACACCCAGCTGGGTAATTTTTTGTATTTTTAGTAGAGAAGGGGTTTCATCATGTTGGCCAGGCTGGTCCCCAACTTCTGACCTCAGGTAATCCACCCACCACAGCCTCTCAAAGTGCTGGGATTAGAGGCGTGAGCCACCGTGCCCAGCCCACTCCAGATATTTTTAATACATATGGGTAAAATTTCTTGCTATAGGCCGGGTGCGGTGGCTCACACCTGTAATCCCAGCACTTCAGGAGGCCGAGGTTGGCGGATCACGAGGTCAGGAGTTCGAGACTGCCTGGCCAAGATGGCGAAACCCTGTCTCTACTAAAAACACAAAAATTAGCCAGGCGTAGTGGCAGGCGCCTGTAATCCCACCTACTTGGGAAGCTGAGGCAGGAGAATTGCTTGAACCCCGGAGGCAGAGGTTGCAGTGAGCCAAGATCATGCCACTGCACTCCAGCCTGGGTGACAAGAGCAAGACTCCATCTCAAAAGAAAAAAAAAATTCTTGTTATATTCAAACTATTGTAAGTTAAAGAAAAAATTGCTCTGTATAACACCAGTCCCAAGATGTGCTCTGCAAAACAGTTCCATGGTCGAGTAATTTGGAGAATAAAATGAATTTTACCCGGCCTAAGGAGGTTCTTAAATAAGGAAAACTTTAAGTCAATGTTTTTCAAATTTATTTGGCAACACCAACCTTCTTTTTGAAATGTTAACTATTAGTTAACATCCCATTAAATTAATACTATAAGGAACACACTTTAGGAAATGCTGCTTTAAAAATAAGAATGCCAAGTGCTCACCTAAGCAAAACTGGTATTCAGGCTGGCTAGTGCATTGTAATTATAAACTATGCTACATTTTTATTATAAATACATTACAAGGAAAGAGCCAATATAATCACTGTTCTTTTTTATCACCAGTCATGGTTGTATGTCAAAGTTTAAGTCCTTTGCACATGTAAGTCCTCTAATTAGGCACAAATTTCAAGAATTATCAGATGCAACAAAATCCTGCTGCAACAGTACAATGCAAACAGACACATCAAGATAAATGTAATTGAATTTAACCTCAGAATTCCATTTTCATCGGAAAACCAAACCTACAGTCTAGAAAACTTTCATTTTAACACCAGTGACCATAATGTGGTGCCCTGAATTAGTTTAGCACTTTCTTTTCTTGTTTTCTGAGACAGTCTCACTCTGTCGCCCAGGCTGGAGTGCAGTGGCACAATCTCGGCTCACTGCGACCTCCACCTCCTGGGTTAAAGAGATTTTTGTGCCTCAGCCTCCCGAGTAGCTGCGATTACAGGTGTGTGCCATCATGCCCGGCTAAATTTTTGTATTTTTAGTAGAGATGGGGTTTCACAGTGTTGCCCAGGCTGGTCTCAAACTCCTGGCCTCAAGTGATCCATCCGCCTAGGCTTCCCAAAATGCTGGGATTACAGGCATGAGCCACCACAATCAGCCTAGAACTTTTTTTTTTCTTTTTTTGAGACAGAGTCTCATACTGTTGCTCAGGCTGGAGTGCAATGGCGCGATCTCAGACCACTGCAACCTCTCTGCCTCTCGGGTTCAAGTGATTCTCCTGCCTCAGCCTCCCGAGTACCTGGGATTACAGGCGCCCGCCACCATGCCCGGCTAATTTTTTGTATTTTTAGTAGAGACGGGGTTTCACTATGTTGGTCAGGCTGGTCTCGAACTCCTGACCTCGTGATCCACCCGCCTCGGCCTCCAAAAGTGCTGGGATTATAAGGTGTGAGACACTGCTCCCAGCCAGAACTTTTTTTTAATGACATCATTTAAGCATACAAAATAGTTTTGCAATTAGCGACAAATATAAAATAGAATGTCTCATTTTTAATATTAAACAAAATGATACTCAATAAACTTGACTGCTTATTATTAGCCTTGTAATTTAGAAAGAAGTACAGCCTTCATAAAGAAACTTTCACAAATAAATGTTTCATATACATGCACATAAAAAACTTCTCTTATTAATTTACCTTATTTTCTGAGCTTCGAGGATTGATTGAGTGTGCACTGTGGACCAGTTTTGCTGGATTTCAATCCCAGCACTATTACTTACACTTACTGCCTGTTACTTAACCTGTGTCTCAATGTCCTTATCTGTAAATTGGACCTAATAGGGTTGTGAGTCTTAAATAAGATAATACTTGTAAAGCACATAAAACAGTGCTTTGGACCAGTAAGGGTTCAATAAATATTAGCTATCACTAATTTTATCCTTCCTTGTATATCTGTATCTCTAATACATGGGCACTAAATAAATGTTTGCTGAAAAATAACTGAAAAGCTAAAGCTTAATATACATATTGCAGTGACGTGAAAGAGCAAAAGTTCTAGAGTTAGAATGTCTGTGCTCTTGAGATCACTTTATGGGATACATTATCTTGAGCAAGTCATATAAACTCCCTGAGCCTGTCTGCCCACTTGGTAAAGTAAGGATAATGATGATGATGGTAGTGACTACACTTCACTTGGTACTAAGCAATTAATGTACAGGACAAAAGAAGATTATACAACTTTTAAAATGATGTTTAAGGAGTATTTTAATGACAGGGTAAAATGCTTCCGAGAAATAACAGAAAATTATACATAAAATATAATTCAGTCATGAAAAACTATAGAGAAAAAAAGGTAAAAATAAAACTAAAAAACAACCACCAAAATGTTAAGAGTCTGCTATTAAGTAATGAAACTGGGATTTTTCTTTCCTTTTTTTTTTACTTTAAATGTTTTCTAAATTACACTGACCTTGTGTCTTTGTTTGAGAAAACACGTAAGAAAGCACATCAAAAACTACACACTAAAACTGGCTGGGCATGGTGGCTCACACTTGTGATCACAGCACTTTGGAAGGCCAAGGCAGGTGGATCACTTGAGGTCAGGAGTTTGAGACCAGCCTGGCCAACACGGTGAAACCCTGTCTCTACTAAAAATACAAAAATTAGCTGGGCATGGTGGCACGTGCCTGTAATCCCAGCTACTCGGGAGGCTGAGGCACAAGAATTGCTTCAACCTGGGACGGGGAGGTTGCAGCAAGCTGAGATCATGCCACTGCATTCCAGCCCGGGCGACAGAGTGAGACTCTAACTCAAAAAATAAATAAATAAATAAATAACAAAAAACTATATACTAAAACTAAGTCTTTAGGGTCAGTAGGGTTGGGAAATATATATATATATATTTTTAAATCTCCTTGGATGACGTTGGATGCATATCCTCTTCATCATCTGCTATGGAGTATCACACCATTTTAAGCATTACTAAGCATTCTAGTTTTCAAAACATGTTAACATCCTGTATCATCCACATCATATATTTACATTAATTCTAATTATTCTGAAATATTATAAAGGTTAAGGAGGTTAGATCTAATAAAAAAGATAAAATTATACAACATTTAAATGAAGTGTTATAAATCAATGATCTCACTCCCTCATTTTCAGATGAGAAAACTGAAGGCGTTTTAAAAGGTTGTAACTTATAAAAATGGCTAACATTTTCACTCCTCATTCAACATTTTTCACTCTCATTTCTTTCTTTTTTTTTTTTTTTGAGACAGTTTTGCTCTTGTTGCCCAGGCTGGAGTGCAACGGCGCAATCTCGGCTCACCGCAACCTCCGCCTCCCGGGTTCAAGTGATTCTCCTGCCTCAGCCTCCCAAGTAGCTGGGATTAAAGGCATACGCCACCATGCCTGGCTAATTTTGTATTTTTAGTAGAGATGCGGTTTCTCCATGTTGGTCAGGCTGGCCGAACTCCTGACCTCAGGTGATCCGCCCACCTCGGCCACCCAAAGTGCTGGGATTACAGGCGTGAGCCACCGCGCCCGGTCTTCACTCTCATTTCTTAAAACCTTATGATCAAAAATATGTCAAAACACTTCTGGATGAATTCACAATGTAACATTTTCTATATATTTATAGCTCAATAATGCCTCTTGTAAGATTTTACTTATATAATCAATCATCCATAGCAAAAATGTGGCTTGCAACTCTGCTAAAGACAACTAAAATTTAGATTAATTGAATAACAAAGTTTGTATATACTAATTAAAACTCTTCAGGCCGGGCACAGTGGCTCATGCCTATAATCCCAGCGCTTTGGGAGTCCAAGGCAGGCGGATCACTTAAGGTCAGGAGTTTGAGATCAGCCTGGCCAACATGGTAAAACCCTGTCTCTGCTAAAAGTACAAAAATTGGCCAGGTATGGTGGCCTGTGCCTGTAGTCCCAGCTACTTGGAAGGTTGAGGCAGGAGAATCACTTGAACCCAGAAGGCTAAGGTTACAGTGAGCCAAGATCGCACCACTGTACTCTGGCCCGGATAACAGAGCAAGACTCTGTCTCAAAAAAAAAAAAAAAAAAACACACAAAAAAACACTCTTCAGATATGTCAACACACATGAACTGTAAGGATTTCCTAAGGCCTATCATTTATCACTTTCCTACAGAAAGAACCCTCTGTTCTAGTCAAGCTGGCCCCTCTAGAAGGGCCAAATAGTTATTCACCCAAATAGAGATTTTCTATCTTCCATAATTTGCTCACTTTGTTTTACATGAAGTTTATTCACTCATCAAACTTTTCTGAAAACCTACTGTAGGCTAAACATAAAATCAGTACTGACTCTATAAATAAGTAAATTTGCCTTGACATAGAAAACTCTCTTTTTTTTATTATTATTATACTTTAAGTTCTAGGGTGCATGTGCACAATGTGCAGGTCTGTTACATAGGTATACATGTGCCATGTTGGTGTGCTGCACCCGTTAACTCGTCATTTACATTAGGTATATCTCCTGATGCTATCCCTCCCCTCTCCCTCCACTCCACGACAGGCCCCGGTGCGTGATGTGCCCCTCCCTGTGTCCAAGTGTTCTGATTGTTTAATTCCCACCTATGAGTGAGAACATGCAGCGTTTGGTTTTCTGTCCTTGCAATAGTTTGCTCAGAATGATGGTTTCCAGCTTCATCCATGTCCCTACAAAGGACATGAACTCATCCTTTTTTATGGCTGCATAGTATTCCATGGTGTATAATGTGCCACATTTTCTTAATCCAGTCTATCACTGATGGGCATTTGGGTTGGTTCCAAGTCTTTGCTTTTGTGAATAGTGCCACAATAAGCATACGTGTGCGTGTGTCTTTATAGCAGCATGATTTATAATCCTTTGGGTATATATCCAGTAATGGGATGGTGCGGTCAAATGGTATTTCCAGTTCTAGATCCTTGAGGAATCGCCACACTGTCTTCCACAATGGTTGAACTACTTTACAGTCCCACCAACAGTGGAAAAGTGTTCCTATTTCTCCACGTCCTCTCCAGCACCTGTTGTTTCCTGACTTTTTAATGATCGCCATTCTAACTGGTGTGAGATGGTATCTCATTGTGGTTTTGATTTGCATTTCTCTGATGGCCAGTGATGATGAGCATTTTTTCATGTGTCTGTTGGCTGCATAAATGTCTTCTTTTGAGAAGTGTCTATTCATATCCTTTGCCCACTTTTTGACGGGGCTGTTTAATTTTTTCTTGTAAATTTGTTTAAGTTCTTTGTAGATTCTGGATATTAGCCCTTTGTCAGATGGGTAGATTGTAAAAATTTTCTCCCATTCTGTAGGTTGCCTATTCACTCTGATGGTAGTTTCTTTTGCTGTGCAGAAGCTCTTTAGTTTAATTAGATCCCATTTGTCAATTCTGGCTTTTGTTGCCATTGCTTTTGGTGTTTTAGACATGAAGTCCTTGTCCATGCCTATGTCTTGAAAGGTACTGTCTAGGTTTTCTTCTAGGGTTTTTATGGTTTTAGGTCTAATATTTAAGTCTTTAATCCATCTTGAATTAATTTTTGTATAAGGTGTAAGGAAGGGATCCAGTTTCAGCTTTCTACATATGGCTAGCCAGTTTTCCCAACACTATTTATTAAATAGGGAATCCTTTCCCCATTTCTTGTTTTTGTCAGGTTTGCCAAAGATCAGATGGTTGTAGATGTGTGGTATTATTTCTGAGGGCTCTGTTCTGTTCCATTGGTCTATATCTCTATTTTGGTACCAGTACCATGCTGTTTTGGTTACTGTAGCCTTGTAGTATAGCTTGAAGTCAGGTTGCATGATGCCTCTAACTTTGTTCTTTTTGCTTAGGATTGTCTTGGCAATGCGGGCTCTTTTTTGGTTCCCTATGAACTTTCAAGTAGTTTTTTCCAATTCTGTGAAGAAAGTCTTTGGTAGTTTGATGGGGATGGCACTGAATCTATCAATTACCTTGGGCAGTATGGCCATTTTCATGATATTGATTCTTCCTATCCGTGAGCATGGAATGTTCTTCCATTTGTGTCCTCTTTTATTTCGTTGAGCAGTGGTTTGTACTTCTCCTTGAAGAGGTCCTTTACATCCCTTGTAAGTTGGATTCCTAGGTATTTTATTCTCTTTGAAGCAATTATGAATGGGAGTTCACTCATGATTTGCCTCTCTGTTTGTTATTGGTGTATAGGAATGCTTGTGATTTCTGCACGTTGATTTTGTATCCTGAGACTTTGCTGAAGTTGCTTATCAGCTTAAGGAGATTTTGGGCTGAGACGATGGGGCTTTCTAAATATACGATCATGTCATCTGCAAACAGGGACAATTTGACTTCCTCTTTTTCTAATTGAATACCCTTTACTTCTTTCTCCTGCCTGATTGCCGTGGCCAGAACTTCCAACACTATGCTGAATAGGAGTGGTAAGAGAGGGCATCCCTGTCTTGTGCCAGTTTTCAAAGGGAATGCTTCCAGTTTTTGCCCATTCAGTATGATATTGGCTGTGGGTTTGTCATAAATAGCTCTTATTATTTTGAGATATGTCCCATTGATACCTAATTTATTGAGAGTTTTGAGCATGAAGGGCTGTTGAATTTTGTCAAAGGCCTTTTCTGCATCTATTGAGATAAGCGTGTGGTTTTTGTCTTTGGTTCTGTTTCTACGATGGATTACGTTTACTGATTTGCATATGCTGAACCAGCCTTGCATCCCAGGGATGAAGCCCACTTGATCATGGCGGATAAGCTTTTTGATGTGCTGCTGGAATTAAAGAGTTTTGAAACTCTTTAAAAACTTTTGTGAACCAGTGATCTCCAAAGTAGAGTGCATAAGACTATTTATCTACTTGGAGTAGGGAGGGGAAACTGAAAATTCTATTTATATGTTTTATCTCACACATATCTATTTGTTTTTGTATGGTTTATAATGCACAAAAATATTTGGTACAACTGCCAAGGTATATAATTTTGAAATAAATATACCTATAATGGGGGTATATAGTCAACTTATTTTAACAAATAAAGAAACTTAATCAAAAAGTTGGAAGATGATTAATTTTTAAAATGTCAATGACTGTAATTTGCTTATGTTAAATAAAAGTTGTCTCCCCAGTCAGGCGTGTTGGCATGCGCCTGTAGTCGTAGTTACTTGGGAGGCTAAAACAGGAGGATTGCGTGAGTCCAGAAGTTTGAGGCTGCAGTGAGCTATGATCATGCCACTGCACTCCACCTTGGGTGACAGAGTAAGATACCATCTCTTAAAACAAAACAAAAAGCTGTCCCCCTCATCACTAAAGAAGTAGGCCACACTGAAACTTTAGAGAACACAGAAAATTAGAACGGAAAAGAATTCCTCATGTTCCCACCATCCAAAGACTGCTACGTTAACATACTGATATGTAATTGTTTTCTCTTTTCTACTTTCTAAGCATTTTAAGTGTCCGTTTATTATATGTAAGATTTTATATCTCGCTTTTGAAAAAAGCACTTTCTGATATAAAAACTTTGTTGTTGTTGTTTTTTGAGATGGAGTTTCACTCTTGTTGCCCAGGCTGGAGTGCAGTGGCGCAATCTCAGCTCACTGCAACCTCCACCTCCCGGGTTCAAGTGATTCTCCTGCCTCAGCCTCCTGAGTAGCTGGGATTACAGGCATGTGCCACCACGCCCGGCTAATTTTGTTGTTTTTTTTTTTTTTAGGGAGACGGAGTTTCTCCATGTTGGTCAGGCTGGTCTCGAACTCCCAACCTCCGGTAATCCACCCGCCTTGGCCTCCCAAAATGCTGGGATTACAGGTGTGGGCCACCGCGCCCGGCCCTAAAAACGTTTTTGTAAACATCAATTCAAATGGCTGTCCATCATTTCAGCATTGTGATTAGATGACCATTTTATTAATCCACTGTTGGGCTTTCAGATGATCAGTTTTCCCTATTAGAGTCATACTGTGAATCACAGTTTTTTGGTACATAGATTTGTTTACTTAGGACATGTCCTCATAGCTGTCCAATGTGTGAATGCCTCTAGGGCTCTTGAAATCTAGTGCCAAACAGCTTCACCAGATTCCCACCTGAAGTATCTGAGAATGTTGGTTTCTAATTTCTATTACCTTTTCTAATCGTCAGTGAAATTAGCAAACCCATTGTTTCAACTAGAATTTCCTTAACTGCCAGTGACATTTCATACAGCTTTGTTAACCTGCTTTATTTCTCAGCTGAGGTTCTTAGGGGGAAAAACATACCAGACTGCAGAAATATACTGGATCTAGGTAGAAGACAGAGACGGGAAAAGCTCGTTAAAAATCTACTATCATAACTCCAGGTATGGAAAATGAAAGACAGTGGCAGGAGGTATGAAGAGGAGATGCTAGATTTTAGTTCTTTTAGAAGACAGCATCAAATGAATTTAGTAAACAATGGCTCCTAAATGTCTAGGTGCAAAAGTAGAGGTATTTATCTCAGTAACTGGACAAAATACATTGTAAATTTACATGGGAAATACAGAAGCAGATTCAAGGAAGTAAAAGACATTTTTAAGAAGAAAATAATGAATTTGGTTTGGGGACTAATTTAGCTCCAAGTACATGAAAACTTTCTAAGTATCATAAGAGAGATTCTGGCAAGATATGTATATTTGGGGTTGTTGAGAAATAGATGTGAATTAAAGGCCAGGTAAATGCATCCCATTAAAAAGGAGGCTGAAGGAAGAAAGCTGAGCCAATCCCAACAAAGAAACTCAGCTAGGAAAAAAGGTGGAGGAGATTAAGAATAGTAACACAAGTAAGAACCAGGAGAGAATGGTGGTATAGAAGGTATAATTATTATTAAAATAATATTTATGTACAGATGCTATGTGAGGAGCTGCATGTGCATTATTTCATTTAATCCTTAAGAACAATCCTATTTTAAAAGATGCAGTTATGAACCCCACCTGGTAGACATGGAAACCAAGGCTTAGAACAGTTGCGTAAGTTGGCCAAAGTTACGATGCTAGCATGTGGTGGAGCCAGAGGCAGGCTTCCTAGAACACCGGAGAGTGGGGCACAGTTTCGAATCTGCAGAGACACCAACTAACAGGCAACTGGAAAAACACTGGTGGTCTCTGCCAGGGTGCTGCTATGATGGTGAATCAAAGAGTAAATGTCAGGAGAAACAGAGACAAGTATACTGTAAAACACTTCAATAAGAAGGAAATGAAATAGTTGCAGCGGGGGGAGGGCAGGGGATGCTGAGAAAAGGTGTTTGTTGCTGTCACTTTGATTTAAGGATGTGAGTGGTGAATGTGTTTCTGCCTAATAGAAAATTGTTGGCAAAGTCTATAGATCCTGGAGGAAGTAGAAGGTGATCAAGTTTGTAGAGTGCTCTTTCTTCTCTCCTTCGAGAGCACTGGTTCCCAAAGTATGCTCCTGGAGTTCTGATATTCTTCCCTTGTAATGAAGCATTGCAATAGTACAATAAAAATGCTAATTCCCCAACTCTCACCCCCATTTTCAAATGAGAGAGTACATATAGACAGAATTTTCTTAATTTAAGTTTTTCACCAAAAGCACTAATTATGCTTGGTCCAGCAACTTGTGTTTTAATTTGGGGATTGGCTGAGGGGTATAGGCATATAACCGATATAATAACTCATACTGTCCACTAGTAAAACAGTTCCTTCTTTGTACAATGGGATTAAACATATCAACAAGAATATCACGGCTTCTGCTATATCTGTCTCTGAACTAGCAGCATTTATCAAAGTGTGTTCTTTGAGGGGCTCCATATTCATGCCCCTCCAGGAGATTCACAGAGCACATTACCATATTAATGCTTTGAGAATTCTTACAACAAAACAAAACAAAACCACTTAACTTTATTGAGTTCAGTGTTTCCAACCTCTCTAAACATAGAAACCTTCCCTTACGTACTACTACCTATGAAAATCTGAAAAACACTTTAGCAAAAGTTGGCCCAGAAAAATCTTAACCACAAATCTCATAATAACAAGAAGTGCTTACAGACCATTCTCCTCTGCAAGAGACTCTCTCCTTCCTTCGCACTCAAAGCACCCACTCTCCAATAATTCACTTGGCAATTCACCATGCAATTCCTTACAGCTATTATATTTAAGGATTAATTTTTATTTAAACCTTGTGTCCTCAACTACATCGTGAGTTCCTGACCTCAGAATTGTGTCTGTTCTTGCGAGAGCTTGGCAACACTACTGACTGGTGCACAGTGAGTGAGAGAAAGCGTGTGCGGACATTTCCCGTTTTCATTTGCATTCTGAGCAACTTATGATAAAGCGAAGTTTTGTAAACACCACTTTTCCATTGGCTAACTACAATTGAATTTCATGTTTTTTCACAGTCTAACAATGTCCACTTTTAGTCACCTCTGGCAGTATCATTTCCCCACTATCAAGCCTGTATTTGAAGCAGAAGCACCTCCGTGAAATAACTGGGTAACATGGGTTGGGAGAACCACTAACACATAGTTTGTTCATACTTCTAGGGTTAGAGAGGAAGGGAAGCCATCTGGTAACAGGCCCCTGTTATTTCCCAGGGTGATCTTTAAAAAACTCACCATGGTCCAAGGTAAAACTTCTTAAGGCAAAATCAAAGAAACACAGGCTATGGCAGCACTTGCTAGTATCAGAGTATTGATGGAAACTTGCAGACGCCACACATTTGGACCCAAGCACCTAAAGAAGCATATCCTATGTGGCACCACACCCGGACTCATGGCAGCCAATGATGTTTCTTTTGGAAACACCAGTGAAGGCTCTGGCTGTCTTGACCCTGGAGAATGATTTCTACCTTAGAAAAGCAAAAAGTGCTGTTCCCGCAATGGGGGAACAAGGTAGCAGGAACAGCTCACCTCCCAACCAGAATATCACTGATCAATTTCAAGCTTCGTTAAGTAAATCACATTTCAAAAATTTAGAATGCCGTAAATTCTAAACTGTTATACCACTATCAAATTTCAAGAATATGCTTACCAACAATTACATTCTTAAAGAATCCTCACTCAACGTATAAGAATATAAATATTTCAAAATAAATGCTTAAATACATACATGAAATCTGAAATCCCCCCTCAGCATGGAACAAAGATCCTCTGCTACATCAGACATGCAGGGATGCAATGTAGCAACCAATCTTGCATAAAATGGTAGCAAATCCAACCTGCAAAAGTTATATGTGATATGTGTCAAAGGAAAGACATATCAAAAATAATTCATTTTAAAATTTAAACTTTTCAGATGTATTCACACATTAAATGATCTTAAAACTCATAATCATACAGACATGCCTATTTATTGCCATCATAAAGAAGTGTTTGAAAATTCAATGAGCCTTCTACAATTTTATTAATATTCTGGCATTTTCCATTCCGTGAATTTACTGCACATCTGTAGTTTTATTATGTAATTTTGATGAAATATGAAACACCACACACAAAAAAACAGTATGTTTTGACACGACTTAAATTTTTAATCACATAATTACTGAGTAACTGCATATTTACAAATCTCAAGGTAACTTCTCTAGTGCAAGACAAAATCCTTTAAAGCCATTTCCTTCATTTATCTCAGGGTAAGTTATTTGGAAACCTCAAGGTCTAAAGTAAAAAGGTAATCAATAGGCTGGGCGTGGTAGCTCACGCCTGTAATCCCAGCACTTTGGGAGGCCGAGGCAGGCAGATCATGAGGTAAA